>NW_021160021.1:0-56695 GCF_000001405.40 Homo sapiens
CTCAGGTGATCCGCCCGCCTTGGCTTCCCAAAGTGCTGGGATTACAGGTGTGAGCCACTGCACCTGGCCTATGTTTAATACTTTTTTAGAGATGGAGTCTCGCTCTCTGTTGCCCAGGCTAAAGTGCAGTGGCACGATCACGGTTTACTGCAGCCTTGACCTCCCAGGCTCAGGCGATCATCCCACCTCAGCCTCCCAATTAGCTGGGACCACAAGCACATACCACTGCACCTGGCTAATTTTTTATTTTTTATTTTTTTGAGACAGAGTCTCGCTCTGTCGTCCAGGCTGGAGTGCAATGGCTCAATCTCAGCTCATTGCAAGCTCCGCCTCCCAGGTTCTTGCCATTCTCCTGCCTCAGCCTCCCGGGTAGCTGGGACTACAGGCGTCCACCACCACGCCCAGCTAATTTTTTGTATTTTTAGTAGAGATGGGGTTTCACTGTGTTAGCCAGGATGGTCTCCATCTCCTGACCTCATGATCCGCCTGCCTTGGCCTCCCAAAATGCTGGGATTACAGGTGTGAGCCACCACACCTGGCCTAATTTTAAAATTTTGTAGTAGAGACAGAGTCTCACTATGTTGTCCAGGCTGGTCTCAAACCCCTGGTCTCAAGTAATCCTCCTGTTTTGGCTTCCCAAAGTGCTGGGATAACAGGTGTGAGCCGCTGTGCCTGGCCCATACTCACAGCTCACAAGTGACCTGTGTGGTTTCCTCTCTCCTTGTGTGGCTGCCTGAGACCAGGCTCAGGTCTGGAATGTCGGCAAGGAGTCACCCACTCTTCTTCTTCTTTTTTTATTTATTTATTTTTTGAGACGGAGTTTTGCTCTTGTTGCCCAGGCTGGAGTGCAATGGCGCAATCTTGGCTCACTGCAACCTCTGCCTCCCGAGTTCAAGTGATTCTCCTGCCTCAGCCTCCCGAGTAGCTGGGATTACAGGCATGCACCACCACACCTGGCTAATTTTGTATTTTAGTAGAGACAGGGTTCTCCATGTTGGTCAGGCTGGTCTCGAACTCTCAACCTCGGATGATCCACCCACCTTGGCCTCCCAGAGTCCTGGGATTACAGGCATGAGCCACTGTGCCCAGCAGGTCACCCACTCTTGTCTCTTTTGTGGCACTCCTGTGTGCCCATCCATTGCTCCCTCTATCCATCATAGCCTCTAGGGTGGCCCCACGAGCCCACTTGTGTTGGTGCCCCAGTGAGTTACCCCCACCTGGAGTGTGGGTGGGAGCGGGCTCCCTTCTATGAATAGGTTGTAGCCAAAGTGACGGGCTGTCCTTCCAAGGGGAGGTCACGCCAACACTGGGCTTCTGTTTTCCTCTCTCTCTCTTACACATTCTGAGCAGAGCTGGCTGCCAGGTGCTGAGCCGCCCCAAGAAAAAGCCCTCGTGGCAAGAAACTGAGGCCTCCAGCCAGCAGTCAGGGACCCGAGGCCTGAGACGGTGGAGGGTGAGCTTGCAAAGGGACCCCACAGTCGGGCCTTGAGAGGCCCACGGGCCTGGCCCACACCTCGGCTGCAGCCTTGTGAAGGTCCCTGAGCAGGGGACCCAGACTTCTGTCCTACAGAAACTTGGAGATAATAAATGCCTGCTCTTCTACGGCACTGAGTGTCGGGTGATTTGTTACGGGCAGTAGACAGCTAATACCTGCCCCTTAGGACACCAAGTCCTCGCCTCCTGGAGGCCCAAGCCCCAGGGAGCCATGCCTGACTTGCCGCCTGTCGATGGGCCACGCGTTCCTTGTTGATGCCATTCTGGGGTCCCCTCACCCTGACATACTAGGAGCCAGTTCCGAGGGAGGCTCTTCTGCCACCAACCCTGGCCCAGGGGGACACTGAGCTCCTTGATGCTGAGGGCCGGTGGTTCCTTATCGCCTGGCGACCAGCGTGTCCTCCGGGTCCTTTTCCAATACCAGCACCTCCCAGCTCAAAAACACAACCCAGCACTCCTGTTCCTCCGTCTCCCGGCCCTCCCTCGACACTGGGCCGAGGCAGCCTGTGCACCTGCCCCAAGCTCCCAGGAGCTGACCCAGCAGCGGATTCGGCCTGGTTCCCGGCATCCTTACCGGGATTTGGAAAATGCTCCTTTCAATCAATAAAGGCCCCACGCGGGCCTTCTTCCGCCCTCCCCTCCAGCATCCTCCATCTCCATTTCCACCCGTCCTCCCCGTCCTGCCAGGCCGCAGCTCCTTGCAGAATAACCCACACCCTCCAGTCGCAGGGACAGAACACCCTAGTTACTGGCCTAGAATTTTGCGGGGGACGAGGACAGGCAGACCCTAAGGAGGACACTCGCCTCAGGTGAGACCTTTGCAAGGTCCCGGCAGTGGGAGCCACTCCCGCCACTGCGGAGGGAACAGAGGGCAGGGATCTAAGAGGCTTCTACCCAAATACCGCATCCAGGTCATAGCGTCCCACCCCCCGCTGCCACCGGGGCCCTGACTTCAACACGGGAGGCAGACCAGACGCCACCGCCCTGGGATCAGAGCTTGGGCCCGAGGGTTGGCCCCGTCTGCACTCTGGCTTTCGGAATGAGGCTCGCTGTCAATGCTGTGGTGGAGCTGCATTCGTTTCCGGGGCTTCTATAACAAGGTGCCATAGAACAGGGCTCCAACAGCAGCCCATTCTCCCACTGTCCTGGAGGCTGGAAGTTCGAGACCAAGGTGCCTGCAGAGTTGGTTCCTCCTGAGGCCTTTCTCCCTGGCTTGTAGATGGCCCTCTTCTCCTGACTCCTCACACAGAGTCATCCCTCTGTGTGTATCTGTGTCCTAGTCTCTCTTCTTTTTCTTTTCGCTTCTTCTTTTTTTTTTTTTGAAGACAGGGTCTCTCTCTCTCTGTCACCCAGGCTGGAGTGCAGTGGTGTTATCATAGCTCACTGCAGCCTAGACCTCCCAGGCTCAGGTGATGCTCCTACCTCAGCCTCCCAAGTAGCTGGGACCACAGACATGTGTCACCACACCCGACTAATTTTTTATATTTTGTTGTAGAGATGGGGTCTCACTATGTTGCCCAGGCTCAACTGGCTTTAAGCCATCCTCCCACCTCGACCTTCCAAAGTGTTGGGATTACAGGTGTGAGCCACTGAGCCTGGCCCTTATCTCTTTTTCTCAGGACACGACTCAGGCCGGGCGTGGTGGCTCATGCCTATAATCCCAGCACATTGGGAGGCCAAGACGGGCGGATCACCTGAGGTCAGGAGTTCCAGACCAGCCTGGTCAGCATGGTGAAACCCCGTCTCTACTAAAAATATAAAAATTAGCCAGGTGTGGTGGCCAGCGCCTGTAATCCCAGCTACTCGGGAGGCTGAGGCAGGAGAATCGCTTGAACCCAGGAGGCGGAGGTTGCAGTGAGCCAAGATCGCACCATTGCACTCTAGCCTGGGTGACAGAGTGGGACTCCGTCTCAAAAAATAAAAAAAGTGGGGGATGGGGGTGGGGGTGGGGGTGGGCCAGGCGCGGTGGCTCACGCCTGTAATCCCATCACTTTGGGAGGCCGAGACGGGTGGATCACCTGAGGTCAGAAGTTCGAGACCAGCCTGACCAACATGGGGAAACTTCATCTCTACTAAAAAATACAAAAATTAGCCGGGTGTGGTGGTGGGTGCCTGTAATCCCAGGTGCTCAGGAGGCGAAGCAGAAGAATCACTTGAACCCAAGAGGTGGAGGTTGCAGTGAGCCAAGCTCGTGACACTGCACTCCAGACTGGGTGACAGAGCAAGACTTCATTTCAAAGGAAAAAAAAAACAAGGCCAGCGGTCATGTGGGAACAGGACTCGCTGTAATCCCCTCTTTAAAGGCCATATCTGTAAATACAGCCCCGTTCTCAGGAAATGAGGGTCAGGACCTCAATAAACACATTCTGAGGAGAGAACACCGCCGCGATTGGGTCTTCTGGATCTCACCGGAGGCCCTGAACTGCTGCCGGCTGCCCTGAGCTTTTTTCTCGCCTTCAGTCTCGGTGACACCCCTGCACCTCTCAAACGCGGGAGACCAGGCTTGGTGGTGAGTCCCGTCCACTTGGGTCCAGGCCAGGCCATCCCGGGTGAGCCCTACAGCCGTGCGCCGCCACCACCCCATGCCCAGCAGGGAAGTTGGTGGAGAAACACCCGCCGCGCTGGCGGGGGGAGCACTGAGGCCGTGAGCGGCACGCAGGGCGGGAGGCGCGGGGCAGGAAGCCCAGTGGTGCTCCTGGCCCTGGACAGTCTGGAGGTCCCAGGGGCCACCGCACAGTGCAGGCTTGGCCTCTTCCGGGCTTCCTGCGGGACCCCCTCCAGCCCTCCCAGCCCCTCCCTCCCCCAGCCTCCCTCCCCAGCCCCTCCTTGAAGCCACAGGGAACCCAAGACACATCTTGGTCCTCACCCCGCACCAGGGGCTTTGAGACCACCCCTCAGCACCCACGCCTGCCCCCTCTGGGCACCCCCCCCAACCCAGGCTCCCCTCACAGCCCCGGGCCTGAGGCTTGTCTGTCCCCATCAGACCTTGCTGCCCCCGCACCCTGTGGGGAATCCAGGGATCGCGCTGCTCCTCCCTGCCCTGTGCCCCTGCCTCCCCGCCGGCGCTGCCCAGGACCCGCAGCTCCCGCACCTGTTGCTGATCGGAGCCTGGCCCCGTCCACCTCCACCATCCCGCCAACTGGCCTGATTTGATCGAGCCTCGCCAGATGCAGCCTAATGTGACTTCGCAGAGCCTGATGACCTTGATGGTAGCTCAGGGCGAGAGTGTCTGGCGAGGCAGATGCCGGGACACAGGTGCCCTCATTACAACCTCCCCTTTTGCAGGAGGATGGGGGGCTCACTCAGGGAGAGGAGGGGCGGCCATGGGAGGACGACTTTGAGTCCCTCAGTCCAGCCTGCTTCCCACAAGCCAGGGCCAGGCTGGGCAGCGCCCACCAAACTTTCCCTAGGACCCGGCTCCAGGGGGTCTGAGGGTTTCCCTGGCAAGCCACCTCCAGAGCCCTGGGCGCCCCATCTGTGAAACGGGGAGGAGAGCCCAGCCTTCCACAGAGATGGACCTCCAGGCGCGGCCACACCCGGGTCACACACACACACACTCTGGTCTCTGACCAGCCCCATCTCGGCCGAGGGTCCATCCTGGTGCCCTGATTGGGGAACACCTGCTGCGTGCAGGGTTGAGGTGGCCGGAGAGGCTGGAGCGAGAGTCCTGGTCACCAGGGGCCTCCGAGGCTGCCTACCCCAGTGCCTGCACCCGGCACCGTCGCTGGGGGCCCATGATCAGATTTGCAGCCGGGCCAGAGGGACACACCCTTCCCCCACCTCGCTGCACTGGGTCTTGGGTGTGCCTGGACGGGAGCCCCTCGCACCTCAGCCCTGGAGGCTCGCCCTGGCCAGGCCTTCTGGGGGAGAGGCAGCCCCTCCAGAGCCCTGGCATCCTTGCTGCTCCGAAGAGGCCCTGAAGGAGTGAGCGACACGCGGGGGCCTCACACACACACACACCCGCAAACACATCCCCCCTCTACAAACACCCCCCCACATACACACCACAAACACTCCACAAACACACACATCACACACACCACACACAGAAAATACACAATACACACCACACACACACCTCACACACACCTCACACACCCCCCCACACACACCCCCCACAAACACACCACACACACACCACACACACTCCACAAACACACCACACACACCACACACAGAAAACACACAATACATAACACACCACACACACACCACACACACCACACACACACCACACACACCCCACACACCCCAAACACACAGCACACACACCACACACACATCACACACAGAAAACACAATACACACCACACACCACACACACCACACACACCCCACAGATACACCACACACACCACACACAGAAAATACACAATACACACCACACACACACCTCACACACCCCCCCACACACACACCCCACAAACACACCACACACACACACCACACACACTCCACAAACACACCACACACACCACACACAGAAAACACACAATACACACCACACACACACCTCACACACACCTCACACCCCCCCACACACACACCCCCCACAAACACACCACACACACACACCACACACACTCCACAAACACACCGCACACACCACACACAGAAAACACACAATACATAACACACCACATGCACACCACACACACCACACACACACCACACACACCCCACAAATACACACACCACACACCCCAAACACACAGCACACACACCACACACACATCACACACAGAAAACACAATACACACCACACACCACACACACCCCACAGATACACACACCACACACACCACACACACACCCCCACAAATACACCACACACACCACACACACACACCCCACACACATCACACACACCACACACAGAAAACACACAATACACAACACACACCACACACACACCACACACACACCCCACATCACACACAGAACACACACAATACACAACACACACCACACACACCACACAAACACAAACATCACACACACCACACACACAACACACACAATGCACAATACACACCACACACACACCCCACAAACACCACACACAACACACACAAAACACACACCACACACACACCACACACACCACCCACCCCCACACACATCACACACACCATATACAACAGACATCACACCCACACCACACACCACACACACACCCACACACACCCACAAACACACCACAAACACCACACACCACACACACACCAGAAACACCCACATCACACACACTACACACAGAACACACACAATACCCAATAGACACCACACACACCACACACAACGCCACACACACACCACACACCCCCCACACACACACCCCACACACACCCCACAAACACACATCTCACACACACAGAACACAAATACACACCACACACCACACACACAGCACACACAGAACACACACAACACACACCACATACCACACGCCACACACACAGCACACACAATACACACACCACACACAACACACACAACACATAAACACACACTATACACACATGACACACACACATCACACACACCACTCACGATACACACACACCACACATGATGCACACACACCACACACGCACACCACACACACAACACACATACACCACACACACCACTCACGATACACACACACCACACACAACACACATGACACATCCACACAACACACGCGGGGCACACACAGAGACACTACACAGACAATACATGACATACATGACACACACAACACACGAGACACAAACATGGCACACACACCGCACGCATGACACACAGACACACACACGACAGAAGGAGAGACAGAGTTTGGGTCAAGAGCCACATCCCCTGCAGATTCCTGGGCTGGGCACACTCAGATCCCGGGCTCTGCAGGCAGCTCCACCGCACCCAGGGTCTCAGTACCTCTGGAGGCCGTGTCCCCCAGTCTCACTCAGCGCCTTCAGACCCCCGCCCCAGCCCCAAGGCTCAGGCCCACGGCAGCCCCTCAGGCCAAGGGACTCACCAAGGTTGGCCCAAACTCTCCATAGTCCATTGGCTCACAGAGACACACACACACAGACGCACACAGATGGACACAGACACACACCGACATGCACAGATGCACACAGATGCATATTGAGACACACACAGATGCACACAGACACACACACATGCATATTGAGACAGACACACACAGACACACACAGATGCACATAGACACAGACACACACAGATGCACATAGACACAGACGCACACACAGAGACACACACAGATGCACATTGAGGCACACATAGACACACAAAAATACAGACACAGATGCACATAGAGACACACATAGACACACAGGCACACACAAACACACATAGAGACCTACATACAGAGACACACACACAGATGCACATAGACACACACAGAGTCACAGACACACACACACACAGATTCACATAGGGACACACAGACACACAGATACATATAGAGACAGGCACATACACACACAGACACACACTGGCAAACATAGAGACACAGACACAAACAGAGACAAACACACACATAGAGACAGAGACACACAAAGACACACATAGAGACACACACGGGCACGCACACAAGCACAGGCACACACAGACACAGACACACATAGACCCACATAGAGACACACAGACACACACATAGACACATAGACATACATATTCTCTGCCAGAACAAGCCAGTCTCCAGACGTGGGCAGGTAGGAGGGGCAGGGGCAGATGCAGAGTGACGGCCTCTCCCCAGCCAGCCGTCCAGATGCTGGGGCAGGTCCGGGTGCCCAGGGGCTGGTGGCGCAACTGAAGAGCCCAGCTGCAAGGGGAGTTTCCTCAGAGGTGGCTTTAAATCTCTGCCTCTGGCCAGCAGAACTGGCTGTGGCGGAGAGAGCAGTGTGTCCAAGGGGTGCCTCCCAGCAGGGCGGGTCAGAGGCTGGGCTTCCTCGCACAATCTCCAGAGAAAGGGAGCTCCTCCCAGGCCTGCCTGTGGCTAGACTGACCTCTCCACCTGCTCTCTTGCCCAGGCTGGAGTGCAGTGCACTCCATCAAGGAGTGACCTGGTGCTCTTTTTTCTCTTTACTTAAAAAAATACTATGAAAATAACACATGCACGTGTTTAAAAACCAAATAGGGCTGGGAGTAGTGGCTCATGCCTGTAATCCCAACACTTTGGGAGGCCAAGACAGGAGGATCGCTTGAAGCCTGGAGGTGAAGACCAACCTGGGCAGCATAGTAAGACCTCATCTCAAAGAAAAAAAGAAATTCTACACAAACTTCCAAAAAAATAGAAAAAGAGGGAACATTTTCCAGCTCATTTTATGAGATCAGCACTACCCTGGTACCAAAACCGGGCCATTTCCTTATTACAGGGAAAAAAAATTGCATAAATATCCTTAATGAACATAGGTACAAAAAATTATTAATAAAATGTTAGAAAATCAAATATGGATATATATATATATAATGACCAAGTGAGATTTATCTCAGAAATCCAAGGTTGGTAAAACATTTGTAAATCAATGTAATTCAACCATAGCAATAGACTAAGAAAGAAAAACTATAAGATCATCTCATTAAAAAAGAAATAAAAATTTGATGAACTTTGACATCCATTCATGATAAAAACTCTCAGCAGCTATGGATTGACGGAAACATTTTCAAATTGATAAAGAGAGTCTGCGAAAACCCTAGGAAAGGCCGGGTGCGGTGGCTCACTCCTGTAATCCCTGCACTTTGGGAGGCTGAGGCAGGCGGATCATGAGGTCAAGAGATTGAGACAATCCTGGCCAACATGATGAAACCCCGTCTCTACTAAAAATACAAAAATAGCCGGGCATGGTGGCGCACGCCTGTAATCCCAGCTAGTCGGGAGGCTGAGGCACAAGAATCACTTGAACCTGGGAGGTGGAGGTTGCAGTGAGCCGAGATCGCGCCATTGCACTCCAGCCTGGGCCACAGAACGAGACTCCACCTCAAAAAAAAAAAACCGAGATATCATGACACACCTACTAGTATGGATAAAAATATCAAACAAACCGGCCAGGTGCATCGGCTCATGCCTGTAATCCCAGCACTTCGGGAGGCTGTTGCTCTGTTGCCTGGGCTGGAGTGCTATGGCACGATCTCGGCTCATGGCAGCCTCCACCTCCTGGGCTCAAGCAAATCCTCCTACCTCAGCCTCCCAAGTAGCTGGGACTACAGGCATGTACCACCATGCCTGGCTAATTTGTATTTTTTTTTTTTTTTGTATAAATGAGGTCTCGCTATGTTGCCCAGGCTGGTCTTGAACTTCTGAGCTCAAGGGATCCTCCTGCCTTGGCCTCCCAAACTGCTGGGATTACAGGTGTGAGCCACTCCACCCAACCTCAGACACTCAACTTTCTTTCTTTTTTTCTTTCTTTCTTTCTTTCTTTTTTTTTTTTTTTTTGAGACAGAGCCTTGCTCTCTTGCCCAGGCTGGAGTGCAGTGCCACGATCTCAGCTCACTGCAACCTCCACCTCCCAGGTTCAAGTGATTCTTTTTTTTTTTTTTAAATTTATTTATTTTTTTTTATTGATCATTCTTGGGTGTTTCTCGCAGAGGGGGATTTGGCAGGGTCATAGGACAATAGTGGAGGGAAGGTCAGCAGATAAACAAGTGAACAAAGGTCTCTGGTTTTCCTAGGCAGAGGACCCTGCGGCCTTGGCCTTCCGCAGTGTTTGTGTCCCTGGGTACTTAAGATTAGGGAGTGCTGATGACTCCTAACGAGCATGCTGCCTTCAAGCATCTGTTTAACAAAGCACATCTTGCACCGCCCTTAATCCATTTAACCCTGAGTGGACACAGCACATGTTTCAGAGAGCACAGGGTTGGGGATAAGGTCACAGATCAACAGGATCCCAAGGCAGAAGAATTTTTCTTAGTACAGAACAAAATGAAAAGTCTCCCATGTCTACTTCTATCCACACAGACCCGGCAACCATCCGATTTCTCAATTTTTTCCCCACCCTTCCCGCCTTTCTATTCCACAAAACCGCCATTGTCATCATGGCCCATCCCCAATGAGCCGCTGGGCACACCTCCCAGACGGGGTCGTGGCCGGGCAGAGGGGCTCCTCACTTCCCAGTAGGGGCGGCCGGGCAGAAGCGCCCCTCACCTCCCGGATGGGGCGGCTGGCCGGGCGGGGGGCTGACCCCCCCACCACCCTCCCGGACGGGGCGGCTGGCCAGGCAGAGGGGCTCCTCACTTCCCAGTAGGGACGGCCGGGCAGAGGCGCCCCTCACCTCCTGGATAGGGCGGCTGGCTGGGCGGGGGGCTGTCCCCCCCACCTCCCTCCCGGACGGGGCGGCTGGCCGGGCAGAGGGGTCCTCACTTCCCAGTAGGGGCGGCTGGGCAGAGGCGCCCCTCACCTCCCGGACGGGGCGGCCGGCCGGAAGGGGGGCTGACCCCCCCCACCTCCCTCCCGGACGGGGCGGCTGGCCGACCGCCCCCCCCCGCCTCCCTCCCGGACTGGGCGGCTGGCCGGGCAGAGGGGCTCCTCACTTTCCAGTAGGGGCAGCCGGGCAGAGGCGCCCCTCACCTCCCGGACGGGGCGACTGGCCAGGCGGGGCGCTGATCCCCCCACCTCCCTCCCGGACGGGGCAGCTGGCCAGGCGGGGGGCTGACCCCCCCCACCTCCCTCCCGGACGGGGCGGCTGGCCGGGCGGGGGGCTGACCCCCCGACCTCCCTCCCGGATGGGGCGGCTGGCCAGGTGGGGGGATGACCCCCCCACCTCCCTCCCGGGCGGGGCGGCTGGCCGGGCAGAGGGGCTCCTCACTTCCCAGTAGGGGCAGCCGGGCAGAGGCGCCCCTCACCTCCCGGATGGGGCGGCTGGCCAGGCGGGGGGCTGATCCCCCCACCTCCCTCCCAGACGGGGCGGCTGGCCGGGCGGGGGGCTGACCCCCCACCTCCCTCCCGGACTGGGCGGCTGGCCGGGCGGGGGGCTGACCCCCCCCACCTCCCTCCTGGACGGGGCGACTGGCCAGGCAGAGGGGCTCCTCACTTCCCAGTAGGGGCGGCCGGGCAGAGGAGCCCCTCACCTCCCGGACGGGGCGGCTGGCCGGGCGGGGGGCTGACCCCCCCCACCTCCCTCCCGGACGGGGCGGCTGCTGGGCGGAGACGCTCCTCACTTCCCAGACGGGGTGGTTGCCGGACGGAGGGGCTCCTCACTTCTCAGACGGGGCGGCTGCGGGGCAGAGGGTTTCCTCACTTCTCAGACGGAGCGGCCGGGCAGAGACGCTCCCCACCTCCCAGACAGGGCTGCGGCCCAGGCAGAGGCGCTCCTCACATCCCAGACAGGGCGGCGGGGCAGAGGTGCTCCCCACATCTCAGACGATGGGCGGCCGGGCAGAGACGCTCCTCACTTCCTAGATGGGATGGCGGCGGGGAAGAGGCGCTCCTCGCTTCCCAGATGGGATGGCGGCCGGGCGGAGACGCTCCTCACTTTCCAGACTGGGCAGCCAGGCAGAGGGGCTCCTCACATCCCAGACGATGGGTGGCCAAGCAGAGACGCTCCTCACTTCCCAGACGGGGTGGCGGCCGGGCAGAGGCTGCAATCTCGGCTCTCTGGGAGGCCAAGGCAGGCGGCTGGGAGGTGGTTGCAGCGAGCCGAGATCACACCACTGCACTCCAGCCTGGGCACCATTGAGCACTGAGTGAACGAGACTCCATCTGCAATCCCGGCACCTCGGGAGGCCGAGGCTGGCGGATCACTCGCGGCTAGGAGCTGGAGACCAGCCCGGCCAACACAGCGAAACCCCGTCTCCACCAAAAAAAAACGAAAACCAGTCAGGCGTGGCGGTGCGCGCCTGCAATCGCAGGAACTCGGCAGGCTGAGGCAGGAGAATCAGGCAGGGAGGTTGCAGTGAGCCAAGATGGCAGCAGTACCGTCCAGCCTTGGCTCGGCATCAGAGGGAGACCGTGGAGGGAGAGGGAGGGGGAGGGGAGGGGGAGGGGGAGGGGGAGGGGAGGGAGAGGGAGAGGGAGAGGGAGAGGGAGAGGGAGAGGGAGAGGGAGAGCTCCTTTCTGTTAATTTTAAAGGAACAATTAGCATTTGTTTTGAAGAGACTCTTGGTAAAAGTATCTTACCCGGGAATTTTTTGATTCTTACTTGGCCCTCCTAATTGGGTGTTCTCAGTGAAAACGAGACACTGCTAATATGCTTTAGAAAATAGCCCTCACATTCTCCCTGTTCCCAATCCCCCACTTACTCTAAGCTCCCCAGGAGCAATAATTCAGAAGTCAAATTGCTCAGCACTCCTATGGTTCAAGTGATTCTTGTGTCTCAGCCTCCCAAGTAGCTGGGACTACAGGAGCCCACCACCACGCCCAGTTAATTTTTGTATTTTTTAGTAGAGATGGGGTTTCACCATGTTGACCAGGCTGGTCTCGAACTCCTGACCTCAAGTGATCCACTGGCCTCGGCCTCCAAAAGTGTTGGGATTACAGGCGTGAGCCACTGCGCCCAGCCTCAACCTTCTAGTGAACCCTCCATGCTCTGTTATCTTTTATTCCTCTTGGATTTTTGTTGTTTCTTTTCTTTTTCTTCTTCTTTTTCTTTTCTTTTTTTTTTTTTGAGATGGAGTTTCATTCTTGTTGCCCAGGCTGGAGTGCAATGGCACAACCTTGGCTCACTGCAACCTTCGCCTCCTGGGTTCAAGCAATTTGCCTGCCTCAGCCTCCCAAGTAGCTGGGATTACAGGCATGTGCTACCATGCCTGGCGAATTTTGTATTTTTAGTAGAGACAGGGTTTCTCCGTGTTGGTCGGGCTGATCTCAAACTCCCGACCTCAGGTGATCAGCCCGCCTTGGCCTCCCAAAGTGCTGAGATTACAGGCATGAGCCACCACACCCAGCCTTTTTGTTGTTTCTTCTGAGAGATTTCTTCAACTCAATTTTCCAACCCTTCTATTAAATTTTTTAAATTCCAGATATTCTATTTGCAGCCGGCAAGGACTCTTCCTGCGCTCTGCTTGTTTTCCAAAGCATTCCGTTCTAGTTTTTATGGGAGCATCATCCTTTCATGTCTCTAAGGATAATCAGAGTGGTTAAAATGTTCTTGAAGTTTTCTTCTGTTCCCTGCAGTAGCTCTGTTTCCTCCAGTTTCCTCTTTCCCAAGTGATTGGTCTGTCTCATATACCTAGAGGTCTTGCTTTGCATTCACATCTAAGGGCAAAAGGCGCTAGGATGCAGTGCGGAGGTCCATTCGCTTTGTCGTAAGGTTTGTGCCTTTCTTAGTCCTGCAGTGGTTGAGTAAAACCTGACCATCCCACACCCTCAAATACTAAGTGCCCCTGGGTAGTGATGTGGAGGGGCCTTCTTATTAATGTGAGGAAATGCTTGTGTTATAGGTTGTGGTGAGAAACGCTGGTTACAAAACTATATCAAAGTAAAAATGTATTAATGCACAGTAAAGACACCTGGAAAAAAAATGCCCTTTAATGCTCACAGAAGGTCTCTCCGAGGGGCAGCCCCACCACCCTCCTGTTTCCCTTCCTGCATTTCCACGTTTTTCTGGGCCCAGATGCAGCCTCCCCTCCCACCCCTGGTCCCTCCGCCTTGGCTTCCGGCTGTCGCTTTCATCCCTCCTCCTCATCAGCCCCTTGCAGAACTCCAGGGTGGGGCTTCTGAGTCTCGCTGGCAGTATGGGCTCCATAAGTCTTGCTGGACACCGAAATTAAGTTCTGCAGGTGCCGTCTCCAGAATCCCCAGCACAGATAGACAAACCCACATCTCAGGGGTGGGGGGTGCAGACCTGCCCCCAGCCCCGCTGCAGCCCGCCCCAGGACCAAGCACACCTCCAGGAGGGCCCCCTGCAATGAGTAGGACCCTGGGGACTGGATGGAGGGCAGGTCCCCCCACCCCCACTGCTGCATGGGAAGGCCCTGCCCCCTCCATTCCCAGCTGCCCTCTGTTTATATGTCTCACCAATGTCAAGGGAAACCAGAACTGGATAGCAGTTGAAACACATATTTTGTTCGGGACTATTGTAATAGGGGAAAAAAGATTTTAGTATAGACCTGGGCTCAACTCTCAATGTGGCACAGGCAAGTGGGGATTTAGATCTGAGGAGCAGGGCGGGGTCAGTGGGTGGAAAATTACTGGCACGAAACACCTGTCTGGAGGATTCTGGCTAAACCCAGGAAACAGGAAGCTTGCTGAGGGCAGGCAGGGTTAGCAGACATCGCCTGGGGGTGGCGGAGGCTGAGAACCCTACCCAGGTAAAATGAAGCTTGCTGACGGCAGACAGGGTTAGCAGACACGGCCTGGAGGTGGCAGAGGCTAAGGAACCTACCCAGGTAAAACGAAGCTTGCTGACGGCAGACAGGGTTAGCAGACACGGCCTGGAGGTGGCAGAGGCTAAGGAACCTACCAAGGTAAAATGAAGCTTGCTGAAGGCAGCCAGGGTGAGCAGATATTGCCTGGGGGTGGCGGAAACTGAGGACCCTACCCAGGTAAAAGGAAGCCTGCTGAAGGCAGGCAGGGTGAGCAGACATTGCCTGTGGGTAGCAGAGGCTGAGGACTCTACCCAGGTAACAGGAATCTTGCTTAAGGCAGGCAAGGTGAGCAGACATCGCCTGGGGGTGGCGGAGGCTGAGGACTCTACCCAGATAACAGGAATCTTGCTGCGGGCAGCCAGGGTGAGCAGACGTCGCCTGGGGGTGGTGGAAGCTGAGGACCCTACCCAGGTAAAAGGAAGCTTGCTGAAGGCAGGCAAGGTAAGCAGACATCGCCTGGGGGTGGCGGAGGCTGAGGACCCTGATCAGATATGGGGGGATGGAGGCTTCTTGCCAAACTGACTTAGCAGAGTTCTTGCTGAATCTGGATTTTATAAGGCAGAATGCAGATGAGCCTGTGAGAAGGTTCTGAAGCCGGACTACAGTTTGGTCAAGCAAACAATCTTGTCATGGATTCAGTCATATAAATAAGGGTCACCCAGCCCAGGGGAGGTGCCCCACCCCATCTGTTCCCTCTCCCTCCCCACACTGAGTCCGAACCTTTCAGGCTTTGCCCCCTTCACACACTCCAAATTTATTCTTCTACTTCTCTTCCTGCAGGTACCAGACTCCGGCCACCCAGCGCTTACCTGGGACTGCTGGGCCTCTGCCCCGTGGGGACCTGTCCTCCAGGAAACAAGGCCAGACACAGGAGGGCAGGGAGGACTCTTCTCCAGGGCCGGTGCGCCGTCTCTTCAGCCCCATGGCACTTGACTTAGGCAGAGCCTACAGCACCCTCACCCCAGTCCCTGCAGCCACCAGGAGGTGGTCCCCCTCATCCCATTAGCCATCACCGCCATTCACAGAGGTCTCGGACTGAGGCTGGCAGGGGGAGCACCATGACCCAAGATCAGAACCCTGTTGTCTGTGCCTCTGGAGAGGTGGGGGCAGGAGCTGAGGGAGGGTTTGGGTGGAGAGGGGAGAAGATGCAGTAGCAGGAGCAGATGCTGGCAGGTAGAGACAAACTTTTATGACCTTTGCCTTCTGACCTTTGCCTCTGGCCACTGCTCCAACTAAAACAGAATGGCCCCCTCTGGGAACAGGGCTTCCTATGGGCTGGGAAGCATGGAGCCCCCACAGTGTGGCTATGCAGGGGAGTGAGGACCAGGTGGGGGCAGGCCTGTGGGGGTCACAGAGCTGGGCTAAGCTTCAGAGGGAAGTGGCCCCTGGGAGGGGGAATGGCTGGGGTTAAGACCCTGGGTTCCCACGCCCCCAAAACAGAAGTAGAATTAGGGAGAAAGGACCCCCAAGACCAAGGACGGCACCTATCAGAGGAGCTCTCCACGGGCAGGAGGTGTCCCAGGGTGAGGGTGGCCAGGACAGGTCTAGGGAAATGCAGGTGGAGCAGGACCCAGAGATGGATTGGAGATGCCGGAGGGGAGGCTTCCTAGCGGGAGCGGAGACAGGCACTGCAGACAAGTGTCAGCGGGAGGGGCTCTGGGTGGGGAAGAAGACTGGGACTTGGAGGAAGACCTCTCCAGGGAGAAGGGAGGAGGGGGAAGGAGAAGGGGAGGAAGTGGGAGGAGGAGAGTGCTCATCCTGGAAGCCACAGCCTCGGAGAGAACTTTCTAGAAGGAAGGCATGACCATCAGTGTCCCAGGATGCTGAGAGGCCAGGAAAGGTGAGGCCTCAAGGCGCCATGGGGTTGTGGTGACCCCAAGATCACTGGGCACAGAGCAGGGATGGCTGGGGGTGGAAGGGGAGGGGCGCGGGCTGAGGTTCTAGGGCCCCAAAGCCAGGTGTGATGTGGCTCTAGGGGGAGTGAGGAAGGGGAGAATGTCCCTCTGAGCGTGCCTCTTGGGGAAGGCAGGGGTTCTGGCTGGGGCTTCTCCACTCCCAGGAAAGGAGGTGGTGTGGAAGGAGCGGGTGGGACGGAGGAGAGAGCGCCCCGCGGCCGCAGGACCAGCAGGTGGGGGACCAGGGTCAGCGCTGCTGGAGGGGCCTTAGCGCGACAGGACTGGCCAGAGACCGGGGATGTGGCACAGAAAGAGTTAAAGGGCACCCCAGGGACCGCCCTGCCGGTCCACCCATGTCACCCATGTTGGCCCCTACTCCAGCCCCCGTCTGCTCTGCAGGGGAAGGAACCGGGAGCCGCGGTGGGGGCGACTGGGGGTGTCGGTCTTTCCAGAAAATCAGGCAGGCATCAGGAAAGAAGGGGCGAGAACCCGGGGACGCGAGAGGAAGGGGGCGAGGGGGCGCCCAGGGAGGCGGAGGGAGCGAGAGGAAGGGGGGCTGAGCCACGGCCCCCACGCCCGCGCGCCCCTCCGCGTCCCAGGGCGTCCCCTCCCGGAGCTGGGACCCACCGCGACCACCACCTGCTGGGCCAGGGTCCGCGGGCTCAGGGGTCTGCAGGATTAGGGTCTGCGGAACCAGGACCCGTGGGACAAAGGTCTGTGGGGCGCGGGTCCGCGGGGTGGAATTCAGCGCGCCGAGTCTGCGTATGGCCGGGGTACGAGGCGCTCCCTGCGCAGGGTGGGCAGGACCGAAGCTCGCCGGGAGGCTGCGCGGAGGGCGGGCGGGGACCCTCGGCTGCCGCTCCCACCCCCGCGGGGCCGCCCCCGAGCCCGCCCTCCGCCGCCGCCCTCGCCCTGCGTCGCCGCCGGAAAGTTTGCACCGACCCCGATCTGGCAGCGCCGCGAAGACGAGCGGTCACCGGCGCCCGACCCGAGCGCGCCCAGAGGACGGCGGGGAGCCAAGCCGACCCCCGAGCAGCGCCGCGCGGTGAGCACCTGGGCCGCGGCCCCGAGGGGACGTTGGGGAGTCGACCCGGTGGGGACAGAGACCGCGGGGCGGGCGCGGCGGGGCCGGGGGCGCGGGGAGCGGGGAGCCGGCCGGGCGGTCTCCGGGGTCCGGGCTGGTGCGCTCCTCAGTCCCGTCAGACACCCCCGTTCCCAACCCCGGCTCGGACACCACCCGGTCCTGCACCGTCGGGCAGGTCCAGGGGTCTCAGCCCCTCCCCCGTTCTCTGGTCCTGGGGGGCGCGGCTGGGGGCGGGGGTGTCGCTGGCCGCCTGGCGCCCTGCGGCGGCCACACTGCAGCGGCCACACTCCCCACTCAGGGCCCCGGGCCCCGCCGCCCTGGGGAGCGCACAAAGCGCCGCGGACGCGTCCCCGAGGCGCGGGGTCTCACCAGCGCTGTCTCCCCTCGGTGGGCTCCTGCCCCGAGGACTGCCCGGTGGCACCGGCGCGGCCCAGGATGGGGTGAGGGGTGTCTGCGCCCCGCCTGGCCGCTCCTCTTCCGCGGCCCACACTGGCGACTTTGACCCCGGCAAGCGGGTCACTGCCCTGCCCGGCTCCGGCCCCCCCGGCGCCCCACCACCCGGCCGACTCGGCCACCGGGCTTATGCTCCGACTCTGAACCGACTGACCCCGGCCCCCTCGGCGCCCGCATCCTCCAAGGACCGGCCAGGGCTGCTCTCTGCCCTTGGTATTGGGGACATCAGGGTTGGGGGGTCTGGGTGCACCCACGCCTGCCCCGCCCCCACGGGGTGAGGGCGCAGGGATAGGGCTTTGTCAACAGCCTGTGGCCCCTGATCCCGCCCCGGTGCCCTGACCTTCCACTACCTTCTCTGGTTTCACAAAAACATCCCGGCTCCCATCCCGGAGCTCCTCAAAGCGTCTGAGAGGCCCCTTGCGGACGCCCTGGGAGCCCCGCTGCCTTCCTGGACCAGTGGCCGCTCCACCCATCCTGGGGGCCCAGCTCCAGGTCTGCGGGTCCCTCAGCCGCCCCCAGTGGGAATCGGTGGAGCCTGACGCAGCCAGGAGCGCCCAAGAGTCACGTGTTCTGCCAGGGAGGACATGGGACAGGACACGGGGTGCCAGCCCTGCAAAGCGGCCGGGGCAGTGGAGCTCAGGTGGCCCTAAGCCCTGGTGGTGGCTGGTGTGGCCCGGCAGGCAGCTGTGGGAGGGAGGAAGGGGGTGGCATGCGGTGGGGGTCTAGAGAAGGCGGGCAGGGCACCTCGGGAGCCCCCCCATTGGGCACCTCGGGAACCCCCCACATTGGGCACCTCGGGAACCCTCCCATTGGGCACCTCGGGAACCCCCCACATTGGGCACCTCGGGAACCCCCGCATTGGGCACCTCGGGAACCCTCCCATTGGGCACCTCGGGAACCCCCCTATTGGGCACCTCGGGAACCCCCACATTGGGCACCTCGGGAACCCCCCCTATTGGGCACCTTGGGAACCCCTCCCCTAATTCTCAGCTGACTCCAAGGCCTGAGAAGGAGCTTGGTCACCTGGACTGTGAAGGTGGAGGGTGGGGTCCCTGGTGGGTCGTCCCACCTACCAGCTGTGTCGCCGGAAGGGTAATACGGAGCACTGTGGCCCCGGGGAGCCCCGAGTGGCAGCTCCACAGCTGGGAGTTTCTGTCCACTCCTTCAGTCAACAAACATTGATCCTGGGCTGACCGGGGCCCGGGGGTGTCAGTGTCTCCTCTCGGGGGAGAGGGCTGGGTGAGATCAACAGAGGAGCCTCCCTTCTTCCCTTCAGGCTGGTGTCACCTTCAGTGATGGGGCAGGGTCCCCACTTGGGAAGTTAAATCGTCGTCCCCGTCCCAGGACCACAGCAGCCTCAGCCCTGCTCTCCAGGCCAGGCTCTCTCATGGGTGCTCAGCTGGAAATTGGTCCCCCCCCGGCTCCACCCACCCCTGTTGGGGTGAGGAGCTGGAGTCTCCCTACCCATATGGGACCCACCACCCGCAGGGAACGGAGGACGCTCACACTTCTGCACCTCCTGCCTCACTATCAGAGACCCAGTGGAGAATTGCCTCCCACCTCACCTCTTGTATTCAGAGGCCCTGACCCCTAGGGATCCGGGACTAGGGGTGCCCTATGGGGAGCCCACCTGTGGCCTGTGGATGCTGAGCTGTCGGGGGAATCCTCCAGGATCCCCAGCCCCACCTTCCCAACCTTCTGTTGAGGCTGAGGGGACACAGAGCCCCACTCCTGGGTCCTGACTGTTTCAAAGAAAGGCCTGGGGGACTGGGCAGCCAACCCCTCCCTCGGCTCGCTGGGGTCTCCAGACTGGCTGCCCGGCTGGAAGGTGGGGCCCTGGCACGCGAGGACCTCATGTGTGGAGGCACTGGCTTGGGGGGTGCTCCCAGTGGCTCTAGAGTCAACATGACAGGCATCGAATGGCTCCTGTTTCTCTGGCAGAGTTGGGGCAGAGCCAGGCTTGGCCACGCTGGGCTCTAAGGGGCTGTCATTTTGCCCAGGGAGCTCCTGGCTGGGTGGTCCTCCCCCCAGGGTGAGCACGCGTCCCCCCCCACCCCCACTTCGAGGCGCCCAGGCAGGGAACAGCTCATTGGCCAGTGTCCTTCCTCCTTGTCCCCCGCCTGCATCTCCACCATCCACCCTGCTCCAGCTGCCCCTTGTCCCTCTCCCCGTCCCCTGCCCAGAGCCCCAGGTCTCCCCTGCACCCCTGAGCCTGCCCACCTAGCAGTGCCCCTCGTCCAGGGCCCCTCTGGGTTGGGGGTGCACACAGTGGGGAGAGGCGGCTCCTGCTGCTCCTCACCCAGCCCGGCTCAGTGGCCGGAGCCGCCCAGGACAGTGGCAGTAGATGGGGCTGTTTGATCAGGATCAGGGAAGATAAGGCCCCTTGCGTGACCCCAGAGCTGGGGACGCCAAAACTGCCCCTCCTCCCCCACCCGCCTGCCGCTGTCTCCGCCAGGGAGAGGCCCCTACTCTGTGGGTCCTTCGCCCCAGCACCAAGCCTGCATGGCTGCTCACCTGGCTCAGGAACTGGGGATCAGCGACACACGGGTCCTGCCTCCCATCGGCCCCTACATGAGCCCAGGGTCCAAGGGCTGCGGTTGGGAGCTCTTTAGCAGTCTGTGACGCAGGTGCCTGTCCCTGTCATTCAGCTGTCACACTGCTTGGGGCATCTCAGGCCCCGTTAGCGGGGCAGCCCTGGGTGGAGCTGGCCCCACGCGGGCTCACCCAGCCGCTACCTGGAGGAGGCTAAAATCCAGGCTGTCCCGTGGCAGCCAGCAGTCCAGGCCTGCCCGGAAACCCTCTGCTCCAGCTGCAGCCTTCGCCCATCTCCTTGCCCCTCTCCCCGGCTTCCCCCTGGCACTGCCTTCCAGCTGGCTGGCCCTCCATCTGCCCAGCCATCCATCCACACCTCTTATTCCATTTGAGGGTGCCCCAAAGAAGAGCCCGTAACAGCCCGGGGGCTCATAGCCAGCCACTCGCGGGACCCCGCACATGCACGTGGACCCACAGGAAGACCCTCCCTGCTTCTCCCACAGAATTCAGTTGGTGCAGAAACTGGGCTCTGTAGCAACGAAAGGCCGATTTGTGTAGCTGTTGCCACCCCGAACTCCCAGCTCAGATGCTGGCTGTGGCATGGGGACCAGGGGCTGTGACTCCCACAGCCCTGGCAGGCACCACGGGGGATGTCCTCCCCACCCTGTGCCCCCACCCTAGGCCAGCTCCTCCTCCAAGTCGACGCCCGCAGTGCTAACCTCAAAGGACTGTGCAGCCAGCCTGTGGCGTCCCATGGGATCCAGGAAGCCCAACCGAGCCTTGCACGGCACCCACGAGGCACCTAGGCACCCCGGTGCTGGGCAGGGGGCACACATGTGACACAGACCCCTGAGTGTGGGCCCCACACACTTGGCCTGGCACAGCTGCAAGCCAGCCCAGCCACTTTGCTCGCTGTGGCACTGGGGCCAAGTGATGGAAGGTCCAGGCACCGCCACCCTCACGCTTGGCACATTGGCTCAGGTCAGCCTGGCAAGCCAGCTTTCCCAGGGGCTAAGAATAGGTGAGGAGGATGGTGAGGAAGCAGCCGGGGGCTGTCAACTGAGGGAGGAGGTCACCATCTGGGGAGGCTGGTCCCCCACCCAAGAGCATTGGGTCAACCTGCAGGAAGGTGGCTGCCACCAGCAATGAGACGAGGGGCTCTGCGACCCTCAGAGCTGCCAGCCAGCCAGCCCTGGGTGGCAAGAGTGACTCCTCCTGGGGTCTCCTCCCTCCTATCGCCCTCTTTTTTTTTTTTTTTTTTTTTGAGACGGAGTCTCGCTCTGTCACCCAGGCTGGACTGCAATGGCTTGATCTCCGCTCACTGCAAGCTCTGCCTCCCGGGTTCACGCCATTCTCCTGCCTCAAGCTCCCGAGTAGCTGGGACTACAGACGCCCGCCACCACGCCTGGCTAATTTTTTGTATTTTTAGTAGAGACGGGGTTTCACTGTGTTAGCCAGGATGGTCTCGATCTCCAGACCTCGTGATCCACCCCCCTCGGCCTCCCAAAGTTCTGGGATTACAGGCGTGAGCCGCCGCGCCCGGCCCCCAGCTCCCTCTTTATCCCTAGGACCCTGAGGCTCAGAGGGGCAGCTTCAGGGGAGGACACCCCACTGGCCAGGACGCCCCAGGCTCTGCTGCTCTGCCACTCAGCTGCCCTCGGAGGAGCGTACACACCCACCAGGACTGCATTGCCCCAGCTGTGCAGCCCCTGCCAGATGTGGGAGGCAGCTAGCTGCCCAGAGGCATGCCCCCCTGCCAGCCACAGCGACCCCTGCTGCTGTTGCTGCTGCTGCTGGCCTGCCAGGTGAGGACTCACAGCACCCTCAGCACCCAGGGGCCCTCCTGTGAGGACTGCACACTGATGGCTCTCTGTCTGCCTGCCTGCCTGCCTGCCTGTCTGCCTGCCTGTCTGTCTGTCTGCCCGTCTGCCTGCCCATCTGCCTGTCTGTCTGCCTGTCCGTCTGTCTGTCCATCTGTCCATCTGCCTATCCATCTGCCTGCCTGTCTGCCTGTCCGTCTGCCTGTCTGTCTGCCTGTCCATCTGTCCATCTGCCTATCCATCTGCCTGCCTGTCTGTCGGCCTGCCTGCCTGCCTGTCTGTCTGCTGCCTGTCTGTCCGTCTGCCTGTCTGCCTGTCCGTCTGCCTGCCTGTCCGTCTGCCTGTCCGTCTGCCTGCCTGCCTGTCTGTCTGCCTGCCTGTCTGCCTGCCTGTCCGTCTGCCTGTCCGTCTGCCTGCCTGTCTGCCTGCCTGTCTGCCTGTCTGCCCGTCTGCCTGTCTGTCTGCCTGTCCGTCTGCCTGTCTGTCCGTCTGTCCATCTGCCTATCCATCTGCCTGCCTATCTGTCTGTCCGTCTGCCTGCCTGTCTGTCTGCCTGTCTGCCTGTCTGTCTGCCTGTCTGTCCATCTGCCTATCCATCTACCTGCCTGCCTGTCTGCCTGTCTGTCTGCCTGTCTGTCTGCCTGCCTGTCTGTCTGTCTGTCTGGTTGCTTGTGCATGTGTCCCCCAGCCACAGGTCCCCTCCGCTCAGGTGATGGACTTCCTGTTTGAGAAGTGGAAGCTCTACGGTGACCAGTGTCACCACAACCTGAGCCTGCTGCCCCCTCCCACGGGTGAGCCCCCCACCCAGAGCCTTTCAGCCTGTGCCTGGCCTCAGCACTTCCTGAGTTCTCTTCATGGGAAGGTTCCTGGGTGCTTATGCAGCCTTTGAGGACCCCGCCAAGGGGCCCTGTCATTCCTCAGGCCCCCACCACCGTGGGCAGGTGAGGTAACGAGGTAACTGAGCCACAGAGCTGGGGACTTGCCTCAGGCCGCAGAGCCAGGAAATAACAGAACGGTGGCATTGCCCCAGAACCGGCTGCTGCTGCTGCCCCCAGGCCCAGATGGGTAATACCACCTACAGCCCCGTGGAGTTTTCAGTGGGCAGACAGTGCCAGGGCGTGGAAGCTGGGACCCAGGGGCCTGGGAGGGCTCGGGTGGAGAGTGTATATCATGGCCTGGACACTTGGGGTGCAGGGAGAGGATAGGGCTGGAGGACTCACCCGGGAGGCAGTGCCTGGGTTCGGATGAGGGAGGCAGCCACCACTGGGCAGAGGGGGGCAGGTGTGGCAGCCTCCATTGGGCAGAGGGAGCAGATGTGGCAGCCACAGGTTTGGCGATGCACCTGGGAAGGATGAAAATGGCATTGGGGTTCAGCCCCCAGAGAGGGAGGTGCTGAGAGAAGGTCACGGAGAATGGGGGACCCCAGTGTGGGTTTGGGGCACATTTGAGATGGGGGGTCTCCAAGGGAAGGTGTCCTGCAGAGCTGCAATTCAGGGCTGGGCTGGGCGTGCTAGCGGAGGCTGGTCCAGGGGAGGTGGATGGTCAGGTGAGGAAGGTGGAGGTCAGATGGGGGAGGTGGAGGTCAAGTGGGGGAGGGAGCAGCCCAGGCCATGTCCTGGGCGAGGTGACGGCCGAGCTCAGGCTTCCAGAGAGAGGAGAGAGGCCTGCTGAGGGAGCCCCTTCTCCCACCCTGCCCTGCCCTGCTCTGCCCTGCCCTACCCTACCCTGCAGAGCTGGTGTGCAACAGAACCTTCGACAAGTATTCCTGCTGGCCGGACACCCCCGCCAATACCACGGCCAACATCTCCTGCCCCTGGTACCTGCCTTGGCACCACAAAGGTACCCATAGAGGGGAGGAACTGTGGGGGGGGCGGGCCCAGGGTGGGGCTGACCCCAGCCTCCCCCCACACCCCCAGTGCAACACCGCTTCGTGTTCAAGAGATGCGGGCCCGACGGTCAGTGGGTGCGTGGACCCCGGGGGCAGCCTTGGCGTGATGCCTCCCAGTGCCAGATGGATGGCGAGGAGATTGAGGTCCAGGTCAGTGGGCGGCAGGCAGGCGCGGTGGGGCTGGATGGGAACGGGCATGGGGGCCCCTGCCTGGCCCTCACAGGCCACTGTAACTCGCAGAAGGAGGTGGCCAAGATGTACAGCAGCTTCCAGGTGATGTACACAGTGGGCTACAGCCTGTCCCTGGGGGCCCTGCTCCTCGCCTTGGCCATCCTGGGGGGCCTCAGGTAGGATTCCGCCAGCGCCCGGGGCGGCCGCAGAGGACAGGGAGGAGGACGGGCGCTGACTGGCTGTGCCCACAGCAAGCTGCACTGCACCCGCAATGCCATCCACGCGAATCTGTTTGCGTCCTTCGTGCTGAAAGCCAGCTCCGTGCTGGTCATTGATGGGCTGCTCAGGACCCGCTACAGCCAGAAAATTGGCGACGACCTCAGTGTCAGCACCTGGCTCAGTGATGGAGTGAGCCCCCCTCGGCGGCCCCAGGCAGGTGGGTGGGTGGGCAGCCAGGCAGGTGGCCACGTAGCCGCGCTCACACTGCACCTGTACCAGGCGGTGGCTGGCTGCCGTGTGGCCGCGGTGTTCATGCAATATGGCATCGTGGCCAACTACTGCTGGCTGCTGGTGGAGGGCCTGTACCTGCACAACCTGCTGGGCCTGGCCACCCTCCCCGAGAGGAGCTTCTTCAGCCTCTACCTGGGCATCGGCTGGGGTGAGTGGGCTGGCATGAGAGGGGGTTAAGGCAGGCTGACCAAGCCTTTGGGACCACAGCTGCTGCCCCCCACAGGTGCCCCCATGCTGTTCGTCGTCCCCTGGGCAGTGGTCAAGTGTCTGTTCGAGAACGTCCAGTGAGTATGAGCGGCTGGACAGCCTGGGGAGGGACCGGGGGGCTGGGGTGCGGCGCTCTGGCCTGAGGCAGGGAGGGGCCGGGGATGAGCCTGGTGCCTGGGGAGGGGGTCATTTGTGACCTTCTCCCTTCCTTTTCTGAGACCCGAATTAGATCCTGGCAAAATCGGGACGGGGGTGCTGAGGGGCGGAGGGGCTGGGGGCTGTGCCCCAGTATGTGAGTGGCCTGGCCTCGCAGGTGCTGGACCAGCAATGACAACATGGGCTTCTGGTGGATCCTGCGGTTCCCCGTCTTCCTGGCCATCCTGGTGAGGAAATGAAGAGCCAGGAGCGCACCCCAGGCCCCTCCTCCCTTGGCGTCCTGAGGCTGCCCCAGGAGACAGCAGCATCCTGTCTGAGAGCGCTGGGAGGGAGCCGGCACCCAGACAGGACACCAGGACACTGGCCAGCACCCTGGACACTGAGCCAGGCTGTTCCTCCCTGGCTGTGTGCCCACCAGCCCCAGGGCTATGTGGCCCAGGGCCTATCTTGCTGCCAGGCCCACCTGCAGGAGGGTCAGGTGGGGCCTTCCAAGGGCACAGAGCTGTTCCCTGGGGCTCGGGATGCCCCTGACTCGCACCCTTCTCACACAGATCAACTTCTTCATCTTCGTCCGCATCGTTCAGCTGCTCGTGGCCAAGCTGCGGGCACGGCAGATGCACCACACAGACTACAAGTTCCGGTGGGTGCCGCGGCAGCTGGCGTCTCGAGACCTGGAGACCCTCAGGGCCAGAGGGCAGCTGGGGGTGGGGACTCCAAGCTCCACGTGGATGGTGCGGGCCGAGGGTGGGGGCGGTGGGTGACTCAGGCGCTGCCTCTGCAGGCTGGCCAAGTCCACGCTGACCCTCATCCCTCTGCTGGGCGTCCACGAAGTGGTCTTCGCCTTCGTGACGGACGAGCACGCCCAGGGCACCCTGCGCTCCGCCAAGCTCTTCTTCGACCTCTTCCTCAGCTCCTTCCAGGTGCCCGCCCGCCCGCCGGCTCCCCCGCCCGGGGCGCAGTGTGCCACCCCTGACCACCCTGTCTCTCCAGGGCCTGCTGGTGGCTGTCCTCTACTGCTTCCTCAACAAGGAGGTAGGTGGGAGTGGGGGCATCTGAGACCATCAGCACTGGCCGTCGGGGTCAGGGGCAGAGAGAGGCACAGGGATGCCAGCCCCACCCCTGCCCGGGGGTTGGAACACGTGGGGCCCAAGCCTTTCCCTCCCCCTGCTCTTATTGGGTGCAGTTGCCATGGCGCTGGGTGTCAGGCCCCCAGGACAGGTTGGCCTCAGCCCCATCGCTACGGTGTCCACCGTGGGGGTCCCCAGGTGTCTGCAGACTGCTTTCCGTGGCGATGCTGGGTGGCATAGCTGTGCCCAGCAGGGAGCTTGTGTCGCTCTGCACCCCTCAGAGCGGAGACTGGGCATCTCCGATGAGGCCCACAGCAGGTCCCGGTGGGGTGGAGAGGACAGGCAGGCCCTAGGACTGGCCTGCCCCGTCCCCCTCCCCAGGTGCAGTCGGAGCTGCGGCGGCGTTGGCACCGCTGGCGCCTGGGCAAAGTGCTATGGGAGGAGCGGAACACCAGCAACCACAGGGCCTCATCTTCGCCCGGCCACGGCCCTCCCAGCAAGGAGCTGCAGTTTGGGAGGGGTGGTGGCAGCCAGGATTCATCTGCGGAGACCCCCTTGGCTGGTGGCCTCCCTAGATTGGCTGAGAGCCCCTTCTGAACCCTGCTGGGACCCCAGCTAGGGCTGGACTCTGGCACCCAGAGGGCGTCGCTGGACAACCCAGAACTGGACGCCCAGCTGAGGCTGGGGGCGGGGGAGCCAACAGCAGCCCCCACCTACCCCCCACCCCCAGTGTGGCTGTCTGCGAGATTGGGCCTCCTCTCCCTGCACCTGCCTTGTCCCTGGTGCAGAGGTGAGCAGAGGAGTCCAGGGCGGGAGTGGGGGCTGTGCCGTGAACTGCGTGCCAGTGTCCCCACGTATGTCGGCACGTCCCATGTGCATGGAAATGTCCTCCAACAATAAAGAGCTCAAGTGGTCACCGTGCATGTCCTGGAAAGCAGGGCTGGAAATGCTGGGGCCGAAGCAGTGGGGGATGGAACAGCGGTGGGTGGTCAGCGCCAGTGCGGGCTGTTGAAGGGTCCCCCTGCTGTCCCAGTTCACTCAGAGTTGGCACTGGAACCCCGGAGGATCCCGAAGGCAGCCAGCCTGTGCCCATCTGAGCAGGTCCTGGCCACCTTCCCATCCTGGTTCTGGCGGGCAGTCCCCCTGGACGCTTTGGCCACCAGAGGGTCACCATTCACCAGCAGAGACGTGAGGGGCACAGTGGCTAAGGCGGCATGAGGCATCACAGTCCCCTGACCGACCCCATCAGCACTGGATTCACCCGAGGGCGTCTTCTCCCTGGAGGCCGTGAGGACACTGGCACCTGGCTCATCGGCCCGCCCTTCCTCTGAGCCTCCTGGCCTCCGTTTCATCTCAGCTCCAGCCCCCTCGGGCAATTTACAGGCCACGTAGCAGATTGAAGCGGGAAGAAATGGGCCTGAACATTGCCGCGGGTCCAGGCGACGGAGGAGGGCAGGTTGCCCAACTTCTGCACAGGACCCGGGGTGCGCCACACACACGCCAGTCCTCGTGCCACACAGAGAGGTCCGGCCTACGCCAGTCCTCGTGCCACACAGAGAGGTCCGGCCTACGCCAGTCCTCGTGCCACACAGAGAGGTCCGGCCTACGCCAGTCCTCGTGCCACACAGAGAGGTCCGGCCTACGCCAGTCCTCGTGCCACACAGAGAGGTCCGGCCTACGCCAGTCCTCGTGCCACACAGAGAGGTCCGGCCTACGCCAGTCCTCGTGCCACACAGAGAGGTCCAGCCTACGCCAGTCCTCTTGCCACCTCGTGGTGGGTGGGCGCCCTGCTTGCCAGCCAGGGAGCACCAGGAAAGAGCTGCCTCCTGCGTGCTGGACACAGGAGGTGCTTCAGGGTGGGGTCTCCCATTGTGTGGGGCCCAACCTGAGTCTAAGGGCCCAGGGACCACACAGCGGGGGTGGAGACAAATTCAGGGTAGAAGCTGTGAGGGGCCTGTGGTCAGCCCCCCGGGGGGTCCCTGCAGCAGGCACTGTGAGACCTACTGAGGTGTGTGCATGGGCTGGGGAAGGAGCCAGTCAGGTGCCCCTGCTCTGAGGAGCTGCTGGGAAGTGCTGCTGGGCCCTGGGGGAAGGGGTGCTCACAGCCCCTGCCTGGGCCACGTGGGCTGGAGCCGCTCAGGCAGAGCCGGACTAATTGGGGCAAATGAGGGGACAGGAGGCCTCTGAGGAAAGGTAAATAGAATTACTCACCCGCCAGGCACTGGGGCCCTCCTGGGGGGGCCCTCACCCTGCCACCCACCACAGGGCCTGCATGCAGCAGGGAGGGAAGTGAGCTGATTAGGCAAGGCTGGACCCTTCTGGGGCCCTGGGGTTGCTGTGATTGGGACGGCAAGGCCAGGAGACGGTCCCCTGAGCTGCACCTGCTGGAGGCCTGTGATCTCAGACCTTAAGGCTTCAGGCCAGCTCTACGCCCCTCCGGCCTCAGGTCCTGGCTCTCCTCTGAGCCCTGGATGCCCGGGTGCCTGTGTGGGCACGAGGCTGCTCCGAGTCAGCACACGGAGGTGGACATTCTCCTTCATGCCAGCTGAGCTCAGGGCTGGTGACTGCCCTGGGGAAACTGCCCCTCACCTGGGACCTCCTGACAGCCCTCCCCATTCCCGAGTCCCTCTGCCCTTGTCCTCTTTCACCTCTGTCCCGCCCTCATCCCTAAGGGAACTGGAGCAGGCTGGTGGAGTTGGGTGGAGTTGGGGACTGGCAGGGGGTGGACTCACCCAGGCAATAAACACTGGCCCTAACCAGGCAGTCCTGCAGGCAGGTAGGTGGAGGGACTGTTTTTTTTCTTTTTTGGAGATAGAGTCTCACTCTGTTGCCCAAGTTGGAGTGCAGTGGCATGATCTTGGCTCACTGCAAACTCCACCTCCCAGGTTCATGTGATTCTCTGCCTCAGCCTCCTGAGTAGCTGGGATTATAGGCGTGTGCCACGACACCTGGCTAATTTTTTTTTTTTTTTTTTTGAGACGGAGTTTCACTCTCGTTGCCCAGGCTGGAGCTCAATGGCGCGATCTCAGCTCACCGCAACCTCCGCCTCCCAGGTTCAAGCGATTCTCCTGCCTTAGCCTCCCTAGTAGCTGGGATTACAGGCAGGTATGTGATGCCCGGCATCCCAAAGGGGTATCTGCAAGAGTTGGGTGCTGTGTGTGCATGGCTGGGAGGAAGATGACTTTGATACCCTGGAATCTGGTGTCTGTGGACACAAAAATACTACTAAAATGAGAGTGGAGACCAGGAAAAAGGAAGACATGAACTACATGAAGGACCAAATCTAGGAGAGTCAGAAGTGCGTCACAGGAATAGGGGACCTTGAGCCAGACAGAAGGCTCAGCAGAGACACCCTCAAGGGGATGAAAGGGATTGAGTGCACTAATATTTAGAGGAGAGAGTTCAGGACTTGATTAGTGACTAGTACATAGAAAACTAAACAAATGAGGCTGGGTGCAGTGGCTCATGCCTGTAATCCCAGCACTTTGGGGGGCCAAGGCGGGCGAATCACCTGAGGTCAGGAGTTCGAGACCAGCCTGGCCAACATGGTGAAACCTCGTCTCTACTAAAAATACAAAAATTAGCCGGGCGTGGTGGCGGGCGCCTGTAGTCCCAGCTACTTGGGAGCCTGAGGCAGGAGAATCGCTTGAACCTGGGAGGCGGAGGCTGCTGTGAGCCAAGATGGTGCCATTGCACTCCACCCTGGGTGACAGAGCAAGACTCCGTCTCAAAAAAAAAAAAAAAGAAAGAAAAAACCAAGCAAATGAAAAAAGAAGGCAATTAATAATTCCAAAGAAAAGAAAAATTTGGGCAGAAAAGAACAAAACAAGCAGAATTTACCATGACTCAGTTCTGAATACAAACACAGACATCATAATGTAAACACCAACACTGATGCAACCAGAATCATGGGAGAAAAAAGATCTAGGGAGGGTGGTGGACGGGAATATCACGTATGTACTGGGGGTAGGGGAGAGAACAAAATGGGAAAAATCAAGAATAATTCACGTTAGAAATAAAAATACAGAGCAAAATTTAAAAATGCAAAGAATGAGGTGAAGAGTTCAAAGTGGTCACCTCGGGGCCGGGCGCGGTGGCTCACGCCTGTGATCCCAGCACTTTGGGAGGCTGAGGCGGGCGGATCACAAGGCCAGGAGTTTGAGACCATCCTGGCTAACAAGGAGAAACCCCATCTCTACTAAAAATTAGCCAGGCGTGGTGGTGGGCGCCTGTAGTCCCAGCTACTCGGGAGGCTGAGGCAGGAGAATGGCGTGAACCCAGGAGGCGCAGCTTGCAGTGAGCCGAGATCGCGCCACTGCACTCCAGCTTGGGCAACAGAGTGAGACTCCGCCTCAAACAAAACAAAACAAAACAAAAAAACAAAGTGGTCATCTCTAGGCAAGGTGGGTGGGAGATGGCTAGGGCTGCAGGTCCACTACGTGAGCTGGCTCAGCCTATCCCCAGACACCCTGCACTCACTCAGCCCGGGGTCCTCCCCCTGCACTCACTCAGCCCCGGGTCCTCCCCTGCACTCACTCAGCCCCGGGTCCTCCCCCTGCACTCACTCAGCCCCGGGTCCTCCCCTGCCTGCTCTTTCTCTGACCCTGCCCTCCACTGTTCCTTTTTCTTCTTTCTCTCCCTGTTGTGTCCAGGAACCAGGCACCACCCTCATTTCTTCTTGATCAATCTTTAAAAACCAGCAGTGCTCAGCTAACTCTTCATCTATCTCCCCCGACCTGGGGCTCTGCTGAATCCACGCTTTAGACCCAGCTATCAGCTCGGCATGTACAGCTGGATGTCCACACCGAGCTGCTCACCCTGTCCCCAGCTTCTTCCTCCCACTGTCCACTGCAGAAGCCTCCTAACAGGACCCCTGCTGCTACCCCGGACCCTGCAACCCATTCCCACACAGCAGCCAGATGCTTTGACACCCGAAGTCTCCTATGAATCCGATGAGGCCTCTGCACCACACCTCATTTTACAGAAGTACAGGGGAAACAGGGGTCTGTTGACACCACAGAGATGCAGCTGGCCAAAGGCAGAATGTGGGGTACACGACTGTCAAACGCCAGGGGTCCTTACACGAATGGTGGAAAAAGAGGGGCATGTTACGGATGGAGGCTCGGGACACATGGGCGCCGCCTTCCCATGCTGCCAGCAACCCACCAGGAACCTATTAATTTAGTCATTTGGGAAATGGGAGCTGGGTATATCGGCTATTAGGAAATTGTTCATGCTCAATAAGTATTAATTACAATTTTCATAAGAGCTTAACCCCCCTGAAAGAGGTCACTGTTTCCTCACTTGTAAATTGGGATACTAAAACCTGCCCCATGGAGTTGCCAGAGTGACATGTGTGCGTGCACACCAACAGTACACAGCAGATAGTGACATATGTGTGCACGCCAACACTACACAGCAGATAGTGACTTGTGCGTGCGCGCCAACACTACACAGCAGATAGTGACACGTGCGTGCACACCAACAGTACCCAGCAGATAGTGACATATGCGTGCACGCCAACACTACACAGCAGATAGTGACTTGTGCGTGCACGCCAACACTACACAGCAGATAGTGACATGTGCGTGCACGCCAACACTACACAGCAGATAGTGACTTGTGTGTGCACGCCACTACACAGCATAGTGACTTGTGTGTGCACGCCAACACTACACGGCAGATAGTGACTTGTGTGTGCACGCCAACACTACACGGCAGATAGTGACTTGTGTGTGCACGCCAACACTACACGGCAGATAGTGACTTGTGTGTGCACGCCAACACTACACGGCAGATAGTGACTTGTGTGTGCACGCCAACACTACACGGCAGATAGTGACTTGTGTGTGCACGCCAACACTACACGGCAGATAGTGACTTGTGTGTGCACGCCAACACTACACGGCAGATAGTGACTTGTGTGTGCACGCCAACACTACACGGCAGATAGTGACTTGTGTGTGCACGCCAACACTACACGGCAGATAGTGACTTGTGTGTGCACGCCAACACTACACGGCAGATAGTGACTTGTGTGTGCACGCCAACAGTACACAGCAGATAGTGACATATGTGTGCACGCCAACACTACACAGCAGATAGTGATGTGTGTGCACACCAACACTACACAGCAGATAGTGACATGCGCGTGCACGCCAACACTACACAGCAGGTAGTGACATGTGTGTGCACACCAACAGTACACAGCAGATAGTGACATGCGCGTGCACACCAACACTACACAGCAGATAGTGATGTGTGTGCACACCAACAGTACACAGCAGATTGTGATGTGTGTATGCACACCAACGGTACAACACGCAACAGTTGCAGTTGCCTCATTTCCCCAAGTCGCCCTCACTGCAGAAAGGGGAGTGTCTCCAGCTGCTTAGTCCAGCAGCCTCCAGGATTGGGTGAGGGTCGGAGGGCCCTGGTGCCCTGCATGGACAAGGCAGTGGCAGCAGGGCTGAAGGACAGGCTGGGGTGGGAGGACCGCAACCCTCTGGGATCGGGCCCCACGGTCAGCTCCCGCAGCCCAGGGGAGAGGTGCCCACTCTAGCAGCCCTTTATGTGCTCCTCAAGCTGAAAGTAGAGACCCCGCTTTGTGACTACAGTGAGTTCTCACACCATTAGGCGAACGGCTGGGGTAAGACCACCCTGTGGCCCCTGCAGAGCTGACCTCACTGGGTGGTCCACCGAAGAGGGGATGGGAGGGCAAGTTTGCTTCAGGGTCAGAGGTCCGGTCCCGGTGGGTGCACCTCCCCAGCCCTCAGGTAGGTTAGGCCCCCTCTCCCGCGTCCCCTCCCCCTCCTCACCCCAATCCCCTCCCCCTCCTCACCCCAATCCCCATCCCCCACGCGGTGCATCGGGTGAAGGGGTGGGGCCTCCAGCAACACCGTGGGCTCAGCGCTCCCCACAGACTCCTACCCTCCTGCCCAGCATGTGCCTGGCCAGGCCGGCCCCCTCCTCTGAAGGGTTCTTGGCAGAAAGATCTCCAAATTGAAGGTTTCTGGTGGCAGGCCCAGGTGCTGGGGCCATACCTGGGGGAGCTCCACCCCCCGGCTGTAGGTAGGCAAGGCCCGGATTCCAGGGCCCAGTGTAAGATGACCCAGGTGAGCCCAAATCAGGTCCATCTCTTAACACAAGGAGCTCCCTCGGCACCTCCTGTGTGCTACACAGGGGTCCCAGCACCCATGCAGGGGAGAGGCCTTTGGATCACCACAGCCCACACTCTGTACAGAGGGATAAACTACTGCTTTGCCTGTAGAGTAGCCATTCTTTTATTTATTTTTTTCTTTTTCTTTTTTTTTTTTTTTTTTTTGAGACGGAGTCTTGCTCTGTTGCCCAGGACGGAGTGCAGTGGCGCAATCTCAGCTCACTGCAACCTCCGCCTCCCGGGTTCAAGTGATTCTCCTGCCTCAGCTTCCCGAGTAGCTGGGATTATAGGTGCCTGCCACCACACCCAGCTAATTTTTATGTTTTTAGTAGAGACGGGGTTTCACCGTGTTAGCCAGGATAGTCTCAATCTCCTGACCTTGTGATCCACCCGCCTCAGCCTCCCAAAGCGATGGAATCACAGGCGTGAACCACCGCACCCGGCTCTAACTTTTCTATTTTTAGTAGAAATGGGGTTTCACCATATTGGCCAGGTTGGTCTCAAACTCCTGACCTTGTGATCCGCCCGCCTCAGCCTCCCAAAGTGCTGGAATTACAGGCGTGAACCACCGCACCTGGCCCCTTTTCTTTAATAAATTTGCTTAAAAAAAAAAAAGAACCCAAAGGCTGGGCACGGTGGCTTACGCCTGTAATCCCAGCACTTTGGGAGGCCGAGGAGGGTGGATCACAAGGTCAGGAGAATGGCTAACACGGTGAAACCCTGTCTCTACTAAAAATACAAAAAGTCAGCCGGGCATGGTGGCGCTCGCCTGTAGTCTCAGCTACTCGGGAGGTTGAGGCAGGAGAATCGCTTGAACCCAGGAGGTGGAGGTTGCAGTAAGCCAAGCTCACACCATTGCACTCCAGCCTGGGTGACAGAGCAAGACTCCGTCTCAAAAACAAACAAACAAACAAACAAAAACACCAAAAACCAGAAAACCCAGAGGGGTAAATTGAGGCAGGCTGGCCGTGTGCCAGGCCCCAGACTGCAGAGCCCAGACTCCCCACCGAAGGCTGAGGGTCGCGCTTGCTGTGTGAGGCTCAGCACCTTGTCAAGTGCACCCACACGGTGACTCGTGGGGGTAGCAGCACCAAGCACTGCGCCACCCATGATGTAGTCATCACCACCTGAAGAAACCAAGGCTGACTCCAACCTGCTCACAGCCACGGTGTAGCAATGGCCTGGCCAGGGCTCAAGCCCACCCCTCCTCCTCCTGGGAATCTGGGAACCCCATGTTTGAGTGGGCCCCCCACTGCAGGACCTCTGCTGGCCCTTGCAGCTACCACTGTACAGAAGGTGCACAGGGCAGGGCCTTGTCCCCAAGAGGCTCGGTGAGTGGAAGGCACATGGCATGAGGACCGCTGTGAGCCGCCCGCCCCTCATCCCCGTGGTGGTGTTCCCCAGGCTGCATCGGCTCAACAGGGGGAGGCAGCCTGGGTCACCCTAGCCTGGTGGGCACTCGAAACGCTCCTCGAAGGACTCACAGGCCCCATGGGGGCCAGGTAAGGCCGTGTGTTTACAGGGAGTTGGCTCGGGGCTGGGTACTGCTGTGCACACTGGCTGCCAGGCGGCAGCTGGGCTGGTTTATTACTGGAACACCCTCCCCTGCTCCTCCTCCCCGGGGAGGCCAGCCCTGCGCCAGCATCTCCTGCACCAGCCCACCCACCAGGAGGCGCCTGTGGGGCCACTCTTCTGGGAAAGCGTGTTCCTGGAATAAATTCTGGTTTCGCTTCCAACAGGAACAGGAATAGAGCTCCCTGTCTGGCCTGCCAGGGCAGCTTGCAGGTTTGAAGGTCAAGTGCACGTGGCTCTCTCCTGGGCCCAGCGGCACCCCCTTCTTCTGGACAGGGGAGGAGCCAGCTCCTAGAGGGGCCACAGTGCCCCAGAGGGTGGGTTCAGGGTGGTGCCTACTACCTCTGCGGCCCCCTGGGCAGCCCCTGTGGCAGAACAAGGGTAGTGATATCAGGCAGCCCAGCCTCTCCCTCCAGAATGCCCTCCCTGCCACCACCTGCCCTAGGAGACCTGAGCACGCCCAGTGGCTTAGACTGAGAATTTCTGGGCTTGAGAAGCCTTCGCCATGATCTGGGGTTTCCAGCCCTGCCCGGGAGCTGGCTGTGCATGTGTGCCGCAGGGGCAGAGGCCTGACAGACCACCAAGAGGCCACGCCCAGTGCCGCCGCCTTTATTCACAGACCCTCGAGCTCCACAGCCACACAGACACTTAGCTTTCAGAGGGCACAGGAAGGAAAAGGGACCTGGTGACCCTCCCAGCACACCCCAGAGCCAAGACAGACCCAGCAGCAGCACCTCAGGGTCAGCCTGGGTGCCCCTGCCCAGGGGCCACTGTGACCGCAGACACCAGGAGGCCAGGCCTGGTTGCTGGGGACCCCCTTGGGGGGCCCGGCAGTATCCTAGGCCCAAAGAGCTGGTGCCATCTTGAAGCTGATTCAGGGAAGAGGCCAGGCTGGACGGTAGGGGTAGGTGTGAGAAGCTCCCCAGCGTGTCCAGGCCACGGGAGCAGCAAGGGTCTGCGGGGAGCCCAGGCTGGATGGGGTGGGGCTGCCCTTGTCCTGTATCCTGACCACTTCAAGGACAAAACCAGCCCAGTCCCAGCAGCCTGGGAGGCAGCAGAGGCTCCTTCTTCTCCCCTCCTGATCCTGCAGTGGCCAGGGGCAGGAGGGTGAGGGGAGAGGAGAGAGGTCAGGTCAGGGCCCCTGGGGGCCAGGCAGCTTCAAAAATGCAGCCAGGTGGCTGGGGGAGGGCAGGAGGGTGGGCAGGGCCCAGACCCCCATGATGGGGGCAGCCTGAGACCCCCAAGGATGAAGGAAGGGGGCTTGGGAAGGAGAGGCAGGCCTCAGCCGTCAGTCACGCCAGTGCTGGGATCTGCAGCCCGCTGGAGCAAGGCACCCCCATCCCAGGGGCAGGACCACAGGACAGGAGGGAACCGACACCTCGCACCCTGATCTTCCGGAGGCCGGGGAGGGGCACCGGGCGCTCTAGGACTTCTTGGCATCCTGCGTGCTCCGGCGCTTCAGGTCACTCAGGTCGATGGGCTTGAAGGCTGCCAGGGGACAACGCGGTAGGTGGTGGGCACAGGCCCCTCCTGCCCATGAGGCCCGGCCTGCCGGCCCAGCCCTGCCCCCAGGTCAGCCCCCACTCACTCTTCAGGCTGGGGTTAGGGACCTTCTCCACATACTCCTCCACCAGGCCCCGCTCGCCACCCGGCACCTGGCCTCGCAGGTCTCGCTCCACACCCTGCCAGGCTGCAGAGGCAGAGAGTGGTGTGCTCAGGGCCCCCTGCCCCAGGGGGTGGCATCCACGTCACGAGAGTGCCTGCCCTCAGCTCCTGCCCTCCCAGATCCTCTTCTCCCTCAGAAGTGTCCTCCATGCTCCCCCACAGCCCTCTGCCCACCCCAGCCTCACTCACCTGCAGACCCCGTCCCCGCTCCTCTGGCAGGCCTGTCCCTTCCCCGCAAGATGACCAGGACTGTGGTCAGAGGGACCCCTATGACCCTACCCCAGGCTTCCCTGCGCCTCGGAGGCAGCGCATCCTCCTCAGCTAGGCCTCTATCTTTCCCACCTCATCCACGCACCTCCCCGGCCCCAGCACACGGCACACTCCCCTAATCCCAGACAACCACCTCCCGGCCACTTCTGCAACACGCCCGTTCATGGCTGGATGCGTGCCTGTCTGTCTTCAAAGGCCCCTCCCTTTCCCCAGCAAACTCCTCCAGTGCTGCTAGCATGGATGACTGGCTCCCAGTGCGGCCTCTATCTGTGGCATGGCCCACCCCCAGCCCCTCCTCCCGGGCTCCCCCCATGATCAGAACCAGGTCTCCTCTCTACACAAGGTCCCCTCGGCCACCCCTACCCGCCTGGGCCCTGAAGGCTGTGGACACAGTGATGGGGCTATCTGTGCCCTGGAGGGGCAGGGGCAGGGGCCGCAGGAGGTTCCTCGGAGCGTGGGTCCTGGGCTGGGGGCAGAGCTGACTCCGTCAAGGACAGGGCAGGAGCTGTGTGTGGCAGGCGCACCCACCTTCGTAAATGAAGCGGACGTTCTCCTCGTGGGCTGGGGTGAAGATCTCGCTGCTGCTGGGTGGGGAGCGGGGGCTGCTGGTCCTCTTGCCGTTGTACACGACTCTGGAGACGGGGGAGCTGGGGGAGCCTGGCGCATGAGACAGGGCACACAGCAGGGTGGGAGCCCACAACCCGCCCCGGTGGAGACCAGCCCACCTGCCTGAGACCCACCTGGTCATCGCGGGGGCGTCTGATCCTAGCGCTCCACCGCCAGATCCCCTCAGCCTCTGAAACAGAAGCCAGCGCAGGCATGGGACGCAGGGCCACCCTCTCCAGCACAGAAGGAGGGGGAGGCGCAGGGCACACCTGCCTCCTCCCTTCAGATGTGAACAAAGTGCATGGTCCCTCTGCCTACCAGGGTGTCCCCCACAGGCTGGGGTCCAGCCACAGGCAGCCAGTGGGCTCCAGGCAACCCTACGAGGTAGCAGAGAGCTGGCCAGACGAGCCAGACACACACACAACTTGAAGCGATCAAGCCCGCTCAGCGGCCTTGATCCTCCACGTCTCAGGCTCAGACGTGGAGGCCTCAGCCCCAGCACCGGGAGCACTGTGGCCAGAGCCCCTCCCCACGTGGGCTGGTGGGGCCGTCAGCATCTCTGATGTCCAGCTGCCTCTCACTGCAGCAGAGGGCCTGCAGCCCCTCAGCTAACTGACCCTGCTCTCCCTGGTGCAGGGCTGGGCACACGGCTTCTGCTGAGCCTTGATTTCCTTTCTGTAAAACGGGGATGAGCTTCCTAAAGGTGATCCCAGCTCCCCGGCACCTACCCAGGTCCAGCTTCCTGGTTCCCTAGAGCATGAGCCACATCAGTACCCTGGAGATGGAACCAAACTCCAGCTCCCCTGGTGGGCAGAGGGGGTGGCCCTGGAGGAAGCTGCTGGGCCTGACCTGGTGACCAAGACCCTGGGCTGCCGCCCGTTTATGGCCTCCCAGCCCAGGGGAATCCACGGCTCTGGAAAAATGGAGTCTATTTTGAGGCTCAGACGCTCACACTGGCAGGCTGGACAGTGTCCCCACTCCAGCTGAGGACACACAACCCCAAGGTGGGGAAGCTGACAGGGCTGGTCTCCAGCCTGCCCTGCTCCAGAGGGGGCAACTCCAGGTTCTGGGGGAGGGGAGTCCCAGGATTCCCAGGAGGGGGCTTTGAGCACAAGCAACTCCCCTGCCCACCCAGAGGCCCAAGGCTGCAGATACTCCAGGGCACACGGCTGCAGCCCTCACAGAGGGCCAGGAGCACTGAGGCTTCGAGTCCTCTCTGGCTCATTCCGCCTCATGTCAATGGTCCAGCCCTCAAACACCACGTGATAAGAATCCCACGGCTCAAGGGCAAAACCAGCAAAGAGCAGAAAACCAGCTCCCAGCCCTGGAACTCTGTGCCCCATCCCAGGCCAGGAGTGAGGTCCAAAAAGGGCCAGGGGCTCCCCACCCACGGCAGCACCCAGTTTGCTCACAAAGTCACCTCTCCTTTCTTGGACTCTGGGGTCTCTCTGCCCAGTCCTCCTGCCAGGGACTCCAGCCCACGAACACCAGAGCACGGAGGGAAAGGCCTGTTTGGGTTGAGGGTCCCACAGGGACATGCTGCCTGCTGGGAAGCTCCCGTTACAGAGAAAGGCAGAGCTCAGGTAACAGGTAGACTGGCCAGCCCCCTGCCTCGCCCCCTGCTGGCTCTCACCACTGACCGACTGCTGCTTTAGGGGTACCTGCCTCCCAGCCTGCCCTCTCCCGTGGCTCTTCTCCCCATGCATCCTCTGCCTCCAGTGGCCACTTGGCCTTTATGCAGCCACACCTTTGGCCTGGGATCCCCCTGCTGGGTTCGGTTGTCACTCCTGCCCCAGATCCCACTGATTGCCCCACATCCTCCCAAGCAACTACCCTTCCGGGGCTCCCTTTGCCTTGTGTGCACACACACACACACACACACACCTGCCCACACATACCTACCTGCACACACCTTAGCTGAATACATCTGCCACACACATGCATACAACCGCCCGCACACACCTGTCTGTACACACCTGCCCACACACATGCGGCACACACCCATATGAACACACCTGGTGTGGCAGCATGCACTTGTAGTCCCAGCTACTCAGAGGCTGGGGTGGGAGGACTGCTTGAGCCCAGGAGGTCAAGGCTGCAGGGAGCCAAGATCGTGGCACTGCACTCCAGCCCAGGCAACAGAGCAAGACCCTGTGTCAAAAAAAAAAAAAAAGCCCAGGCACGGTGGCTCACGCTTGTAATCCCAACACTTTGGGAGGCAGAGGCGGGTGGATCAGCTGAGGTCAGGAGTTTGAGAGCAGCCTGGCGAACATGGTGAAACCCTGTCTCTACTAAAAATACAAAATTAGTTGGGCGTGGTGGCAGGCACCCGTAATCCCAGCTACTCGGGAGGCTGAAACAGGAGAATCGCTTGAACCCGGGAGGTGGAGGTGCAGTGAGCCAAGATCGCGCCAACGCACTCCAGCCTGGGCGACAGAGCAAGACTCCATCTCAAAAAAAAAAAAAAAAAAAAGGCCAGGCGTGGTGGCTCACGCCTGTAATCCCAGCACTTTGGGAGGCCGAGGCGGGTGGATCACAAGGTCAGGAGTTCAAGACCAGCCTGGCCAATATGGTGAAACCCTGTCTCTACTAAAAATACAAAAATTAGCTGGATGTGGTGGTGGGCACCTGTGGTCCCAGCTACTCAGGAGGCTGAGGCAGGAGAAGTGCTTGAACCTGGGAGGCGGAGGTTGCAGTGAGCCGAGATCGTGCCACTGCACTCCAGCTTGGGCGACAGAGCAAGACTCCGTCTAAAAGAAAAAAAAAAAAAGCCAGGTACGGTTGCTGGCCTATTAAAATAGGCCTGTAATCCCAACACTTTGGGAGGCTAAAGAGGGCAGATCACTTGAGCCCAAGAGTTCAAAACCAGCCTGGGCAACATGGCAAAATCCCATTTCTTTTATTTATTTATTTATTTATTTATTTGAGATGGAGTCTCGCTCTGCTGCCCAGGCTGGAGTGCAGTGGCGCCATCTTGGCTCACTGCAAGCTCCGCCTCCCGGGTTCACGCCATTCTCCCGCCTCAGCCTCCCAAGTGGCTGGGACTACAGAAGCCCGCCACCACGCCCAGCTAATTTTTTGTATTATTAGTAGAGACGGGATTTCGTCCTGTTAGCCAGGATGGTCTCGATCTCCTGACCTTGTGATCCACCCACCTGGGCCTCCCAAAGTGCTGGGATTACAGTCGTGAGCCACCACGCCCGGCCGGCAAAATCCCATTTCTACAAAAATATAAAAACTTTGGCAGGAGTGATGGCTGAGGTGGTAGGATTGCTTGAGCTTGGGAGGTGGAGGCTGTGGTGAGCCATGATCATACCACTGCACTCCAGCCTGGGTGACAGAGGGAGACTCTGTCTCTAAGTAAATAAATTTAAAACCCCATAAATATATACACCTATTGTGCACCCATACATTTTTTTTTTTTTTTTTTTTTTGAGATGGAGTCTCGCTCTGTCGTCCAGGGTGGAGTGCAGTGGCGCGATCTTGGCTCACTGCAAGCTCCGCCTCCCGGGTTGACGCCATTCTCCTGCCTCAGCCTCTCGAGTCGCTGGGACTATAGGCGCCCGCCACCACGCCCAGCTAATTTTTTCTATTTTTAGTGGAGATGGGGTTTCACTGTGTTAGTCAGGATGGTCTCGATCTCCTGACCTCGTGATCCATCTGCTTCGGCCTCCCAAAGTGCTGAGATTACAGGTGTGAGCTACCACACCCAGCTGCACCCATACAGTTTTTTAAGTCAACAAGGAGTCTCGTTTGCCTCCTCTTGTTAGGAAAAGAAATGTACCCACACCCTCAATACCACAGGCTGTGTCCTCTAAGTCTTCCCAGACACGAAGAGCCCTTCCCACCTCTCCCTACTTCTTCCTCCAGCTTAGGGACCCCCAGGGCCTCACACTGCCCCCCCACCCCCCGACCCTGCACACATAGCCCCAGGCTTTCCTGGATGTGCCAGCAGTTCCAAGAGGCCAGGGGCCTGCTGTCCCCCTGGAAGCACAATAAACGGTTCTGCAGCTCATTCAGCCTCACTGCCTCCTGGGGCCCTGCCAAGGAGCTGGGTGCCCAATTCTGACCCAGAAGGAATTTTCCATTAAAAATCAAGTATCTGTGCACAACCTATGACCCAGCCATTCTGCTCCTAGGTACACACACCCAAGATGCGTACAAGGACAGCTGGAGAATTTCACTCGTAATTACCCAAAGGGAAGAGCCACCGCAGAAGGGTAGCAATGCACACCTGGCCTATTCCCATAAGGGAATCAGCAGCCAGAGGGGGCACCACAGCCCCCACGCAGAGACGGACACCAAGCACAAGAGCAGGACCTGAGGGGCCACAGACAGGCCCTGGGACACATGGAATGGGAGGAAGCTGCAGAGGGCCGAGGCATGGACATAACTGGAGCCGGGGCCAGGACGGTGCCTGTGAGGGCAGGAAGGAGCCATCCACGGAGAGGGCTGGAGGTCAAGCAAGCTCTGAACCAAGAGGTCACCATGGAGCCACAATAAGGCCTCCAACAACCTCAGCGGGGCGGCCTAGCATAGTGAGGCACACAGCTGAGGGGGGAGGGCAGGAAGTGTGGCTGGCAGGCAGCTCAGCCCTAGCTCAGGCCTGGTGGGCAGCAGGCTGGTGTCTGGCTAAGCAGAGGGAACCCTGAGGCACAACATCCATGCATGGGGTCCCTGAGGTGGTGGATGTGGAGGGACCCAGGACCATAGTGGGTGAGAGTGAGCAGGGGACAATGGCACAGGCCCAGAGAAGCGCCGGGGGCAGCCGGAAAAGACCCAGCACACGGCAGACGGCCACCTGAGGTGGCAGCCCCTGAGCCAGCAGGAGACTGACACCTCAGCTGCCCAGGTAAAGGGGAGTGGCGGCCTGACCGAGGCCGACCACAGGTGAAGGGTGGGAGGGAGGGGCTCCATTCAGCCCAGAGAGACAGCCCCACTTCAGAGGTCTCGAGACCCCATCCAGCCCGGCCCCCTGCCTTCATCCCACCTGGGCCACCACCAGGGTGACAGCAGTAAGGGAGGGTCAGGCGATGCCTCGGTCCCGTTTTCCTTCCCTCTTTCTGTCAGAATCAAGACCGAGCATGCCGATGTCCCGGCCACGGCCCCGTACTCCTCAGTCGCTACACCACACCCCACTGCCTCTGAGAGTTTTCTTTCATAGTTTTCATATTTTAACATCTTTGAAACTGGGCTGCGCCTGACAATTGCTAACACGTCAGAATTTAACCAATGGTGGTTTTTATTTCTCAATGTACTGTAAAATATAGCGCAGCTCACAATGGCTGGGGTCTCACATGGGAGGACCCTCGATGACACTCTCCTGGCCCAGGACCACCCTTCCAGAGCCCCTCAGGCTACATGGTCTTTAGGTGTTTTCTCCCCTTCCCCTCAAAGTCTTCCACATCCCACGCCACCCCACCCCACCCAGTGCTGGGACAACCTCCAGTTCCAGACACCCAGCATCAGGACAGGTGGACACAGATGTCTACATGATCTTCCTGAAACCCTATCCCCAAGTCACTTAGCACTAGGGTGTCACCCAGGCCCTCTGCTGCCATCAAGCCCACTGTCCAGTCCCAACTTGTTTTACCAGGTGTCACCTGCTGCTCCACTCCTGCCCCAACAGCCTTTGCCACAGGACTACCTGCCACCAGCCACACAGAGCACAGGCCACCTGCAAGTCTGTGCATTCTGCAGGACGTGACTGCCTGCTTCCGTGGCCGTCCAGCCTACAGGGCCTGGCCTACTGGGCTGCAGGTATTCCCCTGCTCTGGGGCCCCGGGCAAGCTCCTCTGAGCCTCAGCATCCTCATTCAAAGTGATGCAGCCCACAGGTAGGCTCGCCTGCTCCAATAGGGACGGAAGCACAGCCATGGAAAGCCAGCAGCTCAGTGAGGTCTCTGTGGCTCCTTATCCAATACGATGATGGACAGGACAAGCATGTGCTGTATGGTTCAACTGGATGCTGTTAAGAATGAAAGGGGCTGGGGCCAGGCGTGGTGGCTCACGCCTGTAATCCCAGCACGTTGGGAGGCTGAGGTGGGCAGATCACCTAAGGTCAGGAGTTCGAGACCAGCCTGGCCAGCATGGTGAAACCCCGTCTCTACTAAAAATACAAAAAGTAGCCAGGCGTGGTGGCAGTCGCCTGTAATCCCAGCTACTCAGGAGGCTGCGGCAGGAGAATCGCTTGAACCCGGGAGGCAGAGGTTGCAGTGAGCCAAGATCACGCCATTGCACTCCAGCTTGGGGGACAAGAGTGAGACTTCATCTCAAAAAAAGAAAAAAGAAAGGGGCTAGATGTGGTGGTAATCCTAGCACTTTGGGAGGTCAGGAGTTCAAGACTGGCCTGGGCAACATAGAAAGAGCCCCATCTCGACCAGGTGCGGTGACTCACGCCTGTAATCCTGGCACTCTGGGAGGCTGAGGTGGGCAGATCATAGGAGGTCAGGAGTTTGAGACCAGCCTGGGCAACATGGCAAAACCCCATTGCTACTAAAAAAAAAAAATACAAAAATTAGGCCAGGCGCAGTGGCTCATGCCTGTAATCCCAGCACTTTGGGAGGCCAAGGTGGAAGGATCATCTGAGGTCAGGAGTTCGAGACCAGCCTGGCCAACATACAGTGAAACCCCATCTCTACTAAAAAAAAATACAAAAATTAGCTGGGCGTGGTGGCACATGCCTGTAGTCCCAGCTACTTGGGAAGCTAAGGCAGGAGAATCGCTTGAACCCAGGAAGCAAAGGTTACAGTGAGCCGAGATTGTGCCACTGCACTCCAGCCTGGGCAACAGAGCAAGACTCTGTCTCTCAAAAAAAAAAAAAAAAATTAGCCAGGCATGGTGGTATGCACCTGTAATTCCAGCTTCTCAGGAGTCTGAGGCAGGAGAATCGCTTTATACCCAGGAGGCGCAGGTTGCAGTGAGCAGAGACCATGTCACTGCACTCCAGCTTGGGAAACAGAGACAGAGCAAGACTCTATCTCAAAACAAACAACAAACAAACAAACAAAAAAGGGCCCCATCTCTGCTCTCTGCCCTCAAAAAAAAAAAAAAAAAAAAAGAACGAAAGGGATGCTGTTGATTATCAAGAATGAAACAACTCTTCTGGGTAAACTGGAATGTAGAGTCAGCCCACTCTTAGGAAGGTGGAGGCCCAGAAAAGCACTGGGGACTGAAAGAAGAGACTGCCACCAGCCACAGCAAACACTTGTCGGGCTAAGGGCAGGGCAGCCACCACGCTGGGCCCTTACACACATTGCCCACATCCCCACAGCTGGACCAGAAAGATACCCTGAGAACTTCCAGTTCAGCGCTGAAGGAGCCTGCCACCAAGCAGCGGTGCCCCTCCCAGGGCCTCCGGGGCCACAGCATTTGGGGCTCAGCCCGAATGCTGCAGCTGGCCTGAGCCTCCCAAAGTCTGCCTCCACTCTGCCTGCACCCTACAGCAGGTTTCTGGACTCCCTGAAAGACCCACTCCCTACTGATACCCATGTGGCTTTGCTCAGAGACTGGCCCTCCCTCCAGATAGGGAGGGGAGTCGCATTGGGTAGAACTATGTAGAACCTTCCTCCTCCAGGGGACCCAAGGGCTTTAGAGACTTCCAGGTGGGGAGGGGACAGAACCCCAGTCTCTGGCCTCCCAGTCCCAAATTCTTTCCCCCACACAGCCACATGCCTAAGAACAGGCCATGAGGTAACACTCCAGCAACGTGACAATAGTGAGGTTCCAGAGTTAGAATCAGTGACGCCATCGCTAGTCACCATGCTCCTCCGGAGTTTCTGAGATTCAAAGTTTCTAAGACTCCACTTTCTCTTCGTGTTCTGTGTCTTTTTCAGCCAACGAGGCTAGAAAATGATCTATTGCCCAAGCAGGCGCACGAGGATACGGCTGTCACAGCTGCCACACTGGCACCTCGTGGTCCCTTGAAGACCGCCCAGGGAAAGCCTCTAAGCGCTGCACCACCTCCTCACCCTCTCCCCTGGGTGGTGGCAGCAACAGCCTGAGCGTGTGCGCCCTCCTCCCCATCCTGATCCCACTCAAACCACAACCTCCCCTGACTCGCCCCAAATCCAGCCCTGTTGGCTCTTCCTTCACGTCCCACTTCCCACCCTCTCTACACGTTCTCGCCACATCCCACCCAAAGTCCACTCACTGGTCCCTGTTTACACCTCAGGGCCTTTGGTCAAGCTGTCTTCTCTGCCCAAAACTATCCTACTCATCCTTGGGGATCCAGCTGAAAGACCACCTTCCTGCGACGGCTACCCAGGGGCAGGAGGGAGAGAAGCACAGCCCGTGCCCCGTATGGCTCCCGCCCCCGCGGTCACAACCACCGCCCAGTGAGTGCCTAGAAGGCAGGCGGAGGCCCCGTTCTCCCCGTTAGGCCCAGCATCACCGCCCGGGGAGACGGGAAAGAGGGCAAGGCCGAAAAATGGACAGAAAAAGAATGCGGACGGCCGGGCCCGCGGCGCTCCGAGAATCGGAGGCATCCTCAGGCACGGTCCCTCCAGGAGACCGGGAAAGCGGGGCTCTGTCAGCCCCAAAGCCCCGACGGCGGCAGAAGGCTGGCCCGCTGCGAGCGTCCGGCGGCGCTGGGTCCCCGGCACCTGCCCCTGCCTGGGCGGGAAAGGCGCTCAGTCCGAGCCGCGCCCTCCCCACGCGCGCTCCCAGGCGCCCCGCGGGCCGCGCCCTCCTGCAGGTGCCGGGCGGGGAACGCGGGCCCCTCCCTCGGACCCCGGCTGCCCGGCCACTCCCCCGCGCCCGGCCCCGCCCGGCCCTGCAGGGCACCCGCGGCCGCGCGGCGACACCAGGGCGGGGCCCAGCCGCGCCCGCCCCGCCCCGCCCCGTCCCCGCCGCCCGGCGCCGCACCCGCCTCACCTCGCCCCGACCCGCCGCCACCGCCTCTTCCAGCTGGGAGGCCCCGCCGGAAGTGACGCCACCGCGGGCTGCACAGGCGCAGGCGCAGCGCGCTCTCACGTGACCGCCCGGCTGGCGGAGGGCGGGGGCGGCCGGGATTCCCGTGCGGGGTTGGGGCTCGTGGCGGAAGCTCCGGACCTCCCTGGCCCGAACGGTGAGCGCCGCCGGCCACTGGGAGCGGCCAGAGCCCAGTAATCAGGACACCACCACAGGGACCACGTGTGTAGACCCAGGCCCCCTCACCTGGGAGTCACGTTTATTGAAAAAGTAAAAAGTGTCACAGTAAAAAATTCACCTGGGGACAAAGCCAGGCCTAGGAGGGGTGGCGGGGTCGTGGAGGGACGGGTCCGGCCGCCCCTGGCCCACGGGTGGGGCACGTGCTGGCCCATGGGCGACGCGCGGCTTCTCCAGGGAGGCGGCCCTGGGCGCGGGGGCGGGCGGGCAAAGCTGGCTCAGTCCATCGTGGTCCCTTTGAAGAGCTCCACCAGCTCCTTGTAGTCCGGGTCGATGAGGTCGGAGGGCAGGTCGCCATCGTCGTTGGTTGCATCCCTGTCCGCTCCCAGGGAGATAAGGTACCTGGGGTGTAAAGGTCGCTCTGGCTGAAGCGGGGAGGAGCCAGGAGAGTGCTCGCCCCAACCCGGGTCAGAGGGCCAGAGTCCTGGGGTCACCTGTGTGTCCCCCACCTTGGGGTCCTAAGGTCCGGGTAGGGTGAGGAGGAAGAAACCTGACCCTTTGGAAGCTGTGGCCAGCTTTTCAAGTTGGTTCTATTGAGGACAAAGGCAGAAACAGGATTCCAGAAGCCTCTAGGGTTTGCAGGGTTCTTTTTTTGTTTTTTTTGTTTTTTGAGACAGAATTTCGCTCTTATCACCCAGGCTGGAGTGCAATGGCATGATCTCGACTCACGGCAACCTCCACTTCCCGGGTTCAAGTGATTCTCCTGCCTCAGCCTTGAGTAGCTGGGATTACAGGCGCGCGCCACCACGCGTGGCTAATTTTGTATTTTTAGTAGTGAGAGGGTTCTTGTCACGAACTCCTGACCTCAGGTGATCCGCCCACCTCGGCCTCCCAAAGTGCTGGGATTACAGGCGCAGGCGTGAGCCACCGCCCCCAGCCTCTAGGGTTCTTGCCGACACCACCCGGGCTACATTTTGGGGCTCCCATCCTGGGGACCCACTGAGGCCCGGAGGGGTCGGGTTCAAGCCTGTGTAGACCCAGGGCCCCCTCACCTGGCTATGTCAGGGTACCCATCGCTGCAGGCAATGTGCAGGGGTGTCCAGCCCGCCTCATCTCGCTGGTGAATGTCAGCCCCGTATTTGACCAGCAGCTTCACGCATTCCAGGTTTCCAGAGAGCACGGCTTCATGCAAGGCGGCCAGGCCTGGGCAGGGAGGACGGGAGGGGTCAAGACTGAGCCCCAGGTCAGGTCCTCCTTGCTGGCCTCTCCCACCACCCCACAGGCCCTGGCCAGCTCTTCCAGGCTTTGCTCACCTGAGGGGTGGATGGTGGCCAGGGAGACTTTCCGAGTCCGGATGAAGCGCCCCACCTGCTCCAGGTCACCCTGCCGGATGTGGTCCAAGAACAGGACATCATTAGGGAAACGCACGCTGCGATCAGCCAGCATCCGCCGCCGCCGCTGCCGTGGGCTGTAGCGGGCATAGCGGGCAGTTCTGCTAGGCATCTTGGGCGCTGTGGGGCAGGTTGCCCCTGGGGACCCTACTGCACTGGGGTTAATAATGTATCCGGTCCCGACCAGATCAGCTTGAGGGCTCCTGTCGGACGAGCCCCGGCCTCTGACTTGCTTATATAGGGCTCAGGGGCTATATAAAGCTGCACGGTCATCCTCCCCGGCGCGAGGGGCTGAAACTGAGCTGCACCCCCGCCCCGCACCCCAGATCATGTTTAGTGACTCATCTTTCAGCCCATCTGTCACCGTGCCCGGCCAAAGGGGTCAGATCATTCCTGCCTGTCGCTCCCTGCCCCACAGCTGGACCTAGAAGGTGCCTTACCGAGGGCAGGAGGAGGCACCGGTGCAGAACCCATGAGATAGCTAGGAACGCGAGATCAAGGGCACAGTAGGTACCAAGGTCATTGGAAGGGCTTTTGCTCTCTACCTCCTGGAAAGTGAGGGGCGGCCACCCCCTCCACATCTGCAGAAGCACAGGTCCACCGTGCTGTGGTGAAACAGGCCTTAGCCCCTCCATCTCCCTACCTGTCAGTTTTCACCTTCCAGCGTGGCTTGCCTCACTCTCAGTGGTTTTCCCAAAACTACTCTGATGGCCTAGGCAGGCGGATCATGAGGTCAGGAGATCGAGACCATCCTGGCTAACACGGTGAAACCCCGTCTCTACTAAATATACAAAAAATTAGCCGGGCGTGATGGCGGGCGCCTATAGTCCCAGCTACTTGGGAGGCTGGGGCAGGAGAATGGCGTGAACCCGGGAGGCGGAGGTTGCAGTGAGCCGAGATCGTGCCACTGCACTCCAGCCTGGGCGACAGAGCAAGACTCTGTCTCAAAAAAAAAAAAAAAAAAAAAAAAAATGACTCTGATGGTGCTGCTTCCTGCTCAGAAACCCCGCAGGCATCCTTGGCTGGGATCTCAGTGCCTCAGGCTCCTGCTCAGTCAGTCCTGCGACTTTTCCTCCACGTGCCTGGCTCCCCTGCCTCACACACCTGCAGGGGACAGGGTATTCCCTACACACTCATGGGTTCACCCTGCATAGTGTCTCTGCATTCCAGGTTTGACACACATACTCACACTTAAGGTGGTGTCCAGTTTGCTCTCCACGTTCAGGGACCATCACACCCTGGGTGGTGTGCTCTCTCTGCCCCGGCCCCTGTGATCTTACCTCTAGAAGCACAGCCAAGGGAATTTTTTTGTTTGTTTGTTTGAGTCAGAGTCTCACTCTGTCGCCCAAGCTGGACTACATTGGCGCAACCTCGGTTCACTGCAACCTCTGCGTCCCGGGTTCAAGTAATTATTTTGCCTCACCTTCTCGAGTAGCTGGGACTACAGGGGCATGCACCACCACGTCTGGCTAATTTTTGTATTTTTAGTAGAGACGGGGTTTCACCATATTGGCCAGGCTGGTCTCAAACTCCTGGCCTTGTGATCCGCCCGCCTCGGCCTCCCAAAGTGCTGGGATTACAGACGTGAGCCACTGCGCCCAGCCAAGGGAATTTTTAAAACTCGTGTTCCAACAGGCTCTTCATTGCTGGCTGCCTTTACTTTTGCAACAGCCCCAGTGGAGGTCCAAAGTAGGGCTTGGACTACAGGACATGAGCAAGTGGATGGGATGGGACACAGACACAGAGTTGACCAGGGAGGTCTTTGTTGTCAGGGACAGCGATCGATTGTGCTAGGAGCACTGCAGCACTTGAAGCTGGATGGATGAGTCTGCCGGGGCTGTCTTCACAGACCACAGACTGAGTGGCTTAAAAAACAGATGGTTGGCCAGGCGTGGTGGCTCAACCCTGTAATCCCAGCACTTTGGGAGGCCGAGGCAGGTGGATCACCTGAGGTCAGGTGTTCGAGACCAGCCTGACCAACAAGGTGAAACCCCTTCTCTACTAAAAAATACAAAAATTAGGCCGGGCACGGTGGCTCATGCCTGTAATCCCAGCACTTTGAGAAGCCGAGGCGGGTGGATCACGAGGTCAGGAGATTGAGACCATCCTGGCTAACACAGTGAAACCCCGTCTCTACTAAAAATACAAAAAAAAAAAAAAAAAATTAGCCGGGCGTGGTGGCGGGCGCCTGTAGTCCCAGCTACTCAGGAGGCTGAAGCAGGAGAATGGCGTGAACCCGGGAGGTGGAGCTTGCAGTGAGCCGAGATCGTGCCACTGCACTCCAGCCTGGGTGACAGAGCAAGACTCCATCTCAAAAAAAAAGGCCAAGCGCGTTGGCTTACGCCTGTAATCCCAACACTTTGGGAGGCCAAGGCAGGTGGATCACGAGGTCAGGAGATCGAGACCATCTGGCTAACACGGTGAAACCCCATCTCTACTAAAAAATACAAAAAATTTTCTGGGCATGGTGGCAGGCGCCTATAGTCCCAGCTACTTGGGAGGCTGAGGCAGGAGAATGGCGTGAACCTGGGAGGCAGAGCTTGCAGTGAGCCAAGATCGCGCCACTGCACTCCAGCCTGGGCGACAGAGCGAGACTCTGTCTCGGGAAAAAAAAATACAAAAATTAGCTGGGTGTGGTGGCAGGCGCCTCTAGTCCCAGCTACTCGGGAGGCTGAGGCAGGAGAATTGCTTGAACCCAGGAGGTGGAGGTTGCAGTGAACTGACATCACACCACTGCACTACAGCCTGGGGATGGAGCAAGACTCCGTCTCAAAAAAAAAAAAAAAAAAAAGACGGTCCGTCCCAGAGCTCTGGAGGCTGAAATCTGGGATCCGGGTTTCAGCAGGGCAGGTTCCTCCTGAGGCTCTGAGGAGCGTCTGTCGCAAGCCTCTCCCCAGCTTCTGGTGCCGCCAGCAATCCTGGTGTCCTTGGCCCTAGCAGCATCGCCACGATCTCGGCCTTCATCTCCATGGTGTTCTCCCAGCCTTTGTCACTGTTCACATCACCCCCTTGTATAAGGACACCAGTTATAGTTGGGTATTGCCTCATCTTAACCAGTGACATCTGCAAGCATCCTGTTTCCAAACAACGGTCACATTCTGAGGTCTTGAGGGCTAGGACTTCAACGTTAATTAAGGAGACACATGAGTCAACCCATAATGCTGGTAAAACCCTGCAGGTGGTCACTAAAGGCCTGAATGAGGACAGAACCAAGACTGGCCAGCAGCTCTTTGCAGGGGCAGAGGAGAGCTGGGCCACCAACAGCCTCGCATCATTAGGCTGATCTGCATCCAACGAAATCAAATCAGCAAACATATTAGACACCTCTAGGTGCAAAGCCTTGGCCAAATGCTATGGGAGGGCTGGGCACAGTGGCTCATGCCTGTAATCCCAGCACTTTGGGAAGCCAAGGCTGGAGGGTCAGTTGAAGCGAGGGGTTTAAGCAGCCTGGGCAACATAGTGAGACTCCTTTGCTTTAAAAAAATTTAAAACTGGCCGGGTGCAGTGGCTCACACCTGTAATCCCAGCACTTTGGGAGGCCGAGGAGGGTGGATCACGTGAGGCCAGGAGTTCGAGATCAGTCTGGACAACATGGAGAAACCCCCCGTCTCTGCTAAAAATACAAAAATTAGCCGGATGTGGCGGCGTGCGCCTGTAATCCCAGCTACTCAGGAGGCTGAGGCAGTAGAATCTCTTGAACCCGGGAGGCGGAGGTTGCAGTGAGCCAAGATCGCGCGACTGCACTCCAGCCTGGGCGACAGAGCAAGACTCCATCTTAAAAATAATAATAATAAAAAATTTAAAAAATAAAATAAAAAGAGTAAAAGGAAAAATGCTGCTGGAGAAGCGGCGCTGACGGAGGGTCCCTGCCTGGCGAAATTTCCTGGACCTGCGTTGGTACCCAGGTGCACCCCCTGTCCCCTCCCCTGCCCCCTGGGCCCCTCGCCTCGGGTACACCACCTCTCCAGTCACACACTGGAGTGGCCCTGGAGCCTCTAGCCAGGCCCGGGCCTGCAGACACCCTGAGGGGGGTCGGCTCCCAGCGTGGCTGCATTTCTAGGGACTCAGGGAAAGGTATGGACAGTTGGAATTCCAGGTCACTTGGGAGGAGCCAGGCCGTTTTTTCTGGCTTGTTTACGTGAAGCCTGGAGACGAAACGTTGTACACTGGAGACAGGCTCTCCTCTGATGTGAAGATTGCCTTTTCTCATGTTGTGGAAAGTTCTGTCTGCCCTCCCCCCTCAGAGGATCAGATGAAAGCACGCTGGATGAAGCTGCCACCAACAGTGTGACGAGAAGGAACGCCCTTTCCAGGAGTGACCGGGCCTCAGGCTAGAGACGCGGTGGGGGCAAGACCACCCGGTGAGCCTGTTTGGCGACCCCAAGCAAGCCCCTGTGTCCCTCCTGCTGGAGGTGAGCTGGGAGCGTGCAGAGCTTTTGGCTTTGGGGTTTCTATCTGGATCACCCGAGGGACTGGTGCCTGAAGCCTCGCCAGTCACAACAGATTTCCTTGAAAGGTATTTATGTGCCTTCTATTCTAATAAGGATGTGGGAACCGTGTGTTCTACGCCATGATAGACACTCCCTGGAGCTCCTCACCCTTGAAACGTTCCATCAGAAGCCGGCCGTCAGCAGTCGTGCCTGCTCCACCGTGGGCGAAGCGTGCTGTTCATGCAGCGTGACGTCAGAGCCAAACCTGTCTTCATGGAGTTTTGTCCCTGATTCTTCTTGGTCCATATGAACTTGCAAATTGACCTAGTTTGCATGACTCTAAGTTTCTGCCTTCTGGAGGACGAACTAGAACATCTGATGCACAAGGTTTACCATCACACTTTTTTTATTTTTTTTTGAGACGGAGTCTCGCTCCGTCGCCCAGGCTGGACTGCAGTGGTGCGATCTGGGCTCACGGCAAGCTTCGCCTCCCGGGTTCACGCCATTCTCCCGCCTCAGCCTCCGGGGTAGCTGGGACTACAGGCGCCCGCCACCACGTCCAGCTAATTTTTTGTATTTTTAGTAGAGACGGGGTTTCACTGTGTTAGCCAGGATGGTCTCTATCTCCTGACCCCGTGATCCGCCCGCGTCGGCCTCCCAGAGTGCTGGGATTACAGGCGTGAGCCACCGCGCCCGGCCTACCGTCCAACTTTTAGAAGTCCAGTGAGGCCTGGCTGGGCTCAGAAGCTCACGCCTGTAATCCCAGCACTTTGGGAGGCCAAGGTAGAAGGATCACTTGAAGCCAGGAGTTGAAGACCAGCCTGGGCAACATAGGGAGACCCCCTTCCCTTCAAAAAATTTAAAAATTAGCCAGGCATGGTACTGGGTGCCTATGGTCCCAGCTACTTAGAATGCTGAGGTGCAAAAGATTGCTTGAGCCCAGGAGTTTGAGGCTGCAGTGAGCTACAGTCACACCACTGCACCCCAGCCTGGGCAACAGAGCAAGACCCTGTCTCAAAAAAAAAAAAATGTCCAGTGAATGCAACCAGCAGTGCTCTGCAAAAGCACCCGGGAGACCCTGTTAGTAAAGTCAGCTGAGGCCAGGCGCAGTGGCTCACGCCTGTAATCCCAGTACTCTGGGAGGCCAAGGTGGGTGGATCACCCGAGATCAGGAGTTCGAGACCAGCCTGGCCAACATGGTGAAACCCCATCTCTACTGAAAATACAAAGATTAGCCGGGCATGGTGGTGCATGCTTGTAATCGCAGCTACTCAGGAGGCTGAGGCAGGAGAATCACCTGAGCCCAGGAGGCAGAGGTTGCAGGGAGCTGAGATCGCAGCGCTGACTCCAGCCTGGGCAACAGAGTGAGACTATGTCTCAAAAAAAAAAAAGGAAAAGTCAGCGCAGGTCGCACTGCAGTCTGGCAGGAGGGCCAGCCTAGGGCCAGAAGGGCCCTTCCCTCCCTGAGGTCAGAGGCCCCCCGGGGTGTGGTACATAGACCCAGCAATCACTGTTTTAGGCTCCAGGCCGGTGGCTTCCTGGCACCTGGAGAGACAGAGGGTTGGGAAGTCCCAGGCTGCTAAGCCCTAACCACCTCCTCCCAGAGCCTTCAAAGTCTCCCCACTAATCCAGCAGCCCAGTCAGAGAGGTTTTGGACACTGCCCCACCACCTCCCAGCCACAGCCGAGCCCAGGAATGTGCTCATCAGCTGCCTCTGCAAAACGGGAAAGGTATCAGTGACTCCCTCCCCTTTCCAGAGCACATGACACCAGTGCTGCGGGCAGCTGTGCCATGTCCCAACGTTCTCTCCAGAGGGCCGGCTCCCCGCACAGCTGGTCCACAGGGTCACTGCACCCCATCCCACGGCCAGGGAGCACAGGCACAAATACAGCCCACCCCTTTAGCTGTGACTCAGGACAGCCTCCCTCAGAGACCCTGCAAGGAGCCACAGCCCTCGGGCCTCTGCCCACATCCTCCCACGGCACCTCCAGATGCCGTTGCCCACTTTTCCGTGAGTACGCGGCTCACTGTGTCGCAGGACCCAGGCATGGCACACAAACCCTGCTGAGGCCCTGGAGCTGAACTAGCCAGAAACCAGCCCCAGCACGGGCTGTCTCCAAGACCCACAGAGCTGGGGGCCGGGGCAGACGGCAGCACCCAGACTGCCGAGCTGGTGTGAGCCGTGTGGGGCCAAGGACATGTGGGCAAACCGGGCTGGCTGGTGCTGGCGACGTGTTGACACAGGTCCTCGCGGCATGCTGGCCGGATACTCCACAGCCTGGAGCAGAGGCAGGAGGAGCCGGAGCGGCCGAGTTTGTGAGGGCCTGTGGGGCCGGCAAGGGAGGTAGCGGGGAGAACGGGAGAACCGCACCCCCGGCGAGGCCTGGTCTGGCTTGAGAGCCGTCTCTGGCTCCAGCAGCTGCAGCCAGCCCGCAAGCTCGGGAACTGGGAGGACACCCGGGAATCTCGGCAGTGCGGAAGCTCCTACTCTAGGAAGCACATCAGGATGTGAAGTTGGCGGGGCTCACAGAGTCACAGGCAGGGCTCCTCAAGGCAGCCTGGTGAGGGTCGTTTGTTCCATCCGAACTTCTGAGGGCCGAGCAGCCTCCCTAGAGCTGCAGCTCCACCCCCACTCCCACCTGCCACCTGCACCCTTGGGCTCCTTCCTCCTGCCTCACCGCCCTCTGAGACCACCATGAGCCCTGCTGGATCCTCAGGGCCTCTGCCGTTGCCCTCAGGGGGACCCACAGACACCACAGAGCTCCTGTTGCCTCCCCTGCAGAAAAGCAGCAAATCCAGGCTCAGCAGAGCCATCGCCCAGCCCTGCACACAGGCCGCGGCTTGCCGTCTGCAGAAAAATTGACTTTCAGCCGGGCGCGGTGGCTCACGCCTATAATCCCAGCACTTTGGGAGGCCGACGCGGGCAAATCACGAGGTCAGCCAGCAGATCCTGGCTAACACAGTGAAACCCCATCTCTACTAAAAGTACAAAAAATTAGCCGGGCGTGGTGGCGGATGTCTGTAATCCCAGCTACTCAGGAGGCTCAGGCAGGAGAATCACTTGAACCCGGGAGGCGGAGGTTGCAGTGAGCCAAGACAGCACCATTGCACTCCAGCCTGGGCCACAGAGCAAGACTCCGTCTCAAAAAAAATCGAGTGTATGTGTTTTTTCTGCATGTGAAGCACAGGAGTGCTGAGGTTAAGCCAAATTACAACTTAAAGACCAGGAGATCCTTATTTTTAGAGACAGCTCTGTCACCCAGCTGGAGTGCAGTGGCGCGATCTCCGCTCACTGCAGTGTTGACCTCCTGGGATCAAGTGATCCTCCTGCCTCAGCCTCCCGAGTAGCTGGGACTGTAGGTGCAAACCATGCCCAGCTAATTTCTAATTTTTCCTAGAGACGGGGTCTCCCCGTGTTGCCCCAGCACTGGGATTCCAGGCGCGCGTCCCTGCGCCCAGCCCTGCCCTTTATCGTGTGAAGGGTTAGTGATAAGCAGGGCCCCCTGTTCCTCTCACCCATCCTTGAAGCCTGAGTCCACCTGATTTCTCGTCACTCCACGGCGGGGATGGGAGGGAATGACCAGGAGTCTGAGCATCACATGGGGCTGGGTGGCTCCACCCGTGTCCACATCCAGGGTCCAGAATCACAGAAGCCCCATCAGAGTCCAGGTAAAGCAGCCTACAGGCAGGGAAGGCATCCTCCCCGGGAATCGCAAGCCTGCACAGCTCTGCTGGGGAGACTGGGGCCTGTTTCTGCATCTGCACCTCGTCCCAGGGGCGAGGCCTCTCAGCACCAGTAACCCCACTAAGGCCTGGCAGATGGCCTTGGCGTCCGCATTCCAGCCCAGCTCTCCGGGCTTGGTGAGATCATAAACCCGAGGCAAGGACAGGTGGTAAAATTTCAACTTTATTTGGCCAATGTGTTCAATTC